>NT_187590.1:0-119498 GCF_000001405.40 Homo sapiens | reverse complement strand
TGTGCAGCTGGGGACAGTGCTTGTGAGGGGTAGGACACTAGGCCTAGGGCAGCTCTCCTGTCATCCAAGACCCACTAAATTCTGGATCACATTTAAATGGTTCTTTCTCTTTGACAGCAAGCCACTAACATATGGGCTCTGCTTCTTCCATCAGCCAACAGAATCCTGGATTTGAGTCTGTCCTTTGAAAGCATCTCTGCTAGAGTTCCCACTTCCAAACCCCTTTCAGCTCTTCGGGATTCAGCCTCCAGGTGAGGTGCTGGAATTGATGCCAGAGTGAACGACTCCGGATTGCTGAGTGGAAGGAAAACGTAGGCACCGCTACTGACAGCTCTCAGGCGCTCCTGGGATTTTCCTTCCTTTGACGCTGAGGCTGTTCCGCTTTCAAGCGTTCTGCTTTGTGAGGGAAGGGCAAGGTCAGAAGGTGCTCACCCTTTCCACAGCAAGCACGCGGCACACGTGTGCCACACGCTGAACCTGCCTTGGTTGTAGCTGGCTCCTTTGTTAAGGTCAGCGCCCCCCAAGACCACGTGCTGTGCAGACAGTGTTGGGATCTCGGGAACTGTGGGGTTCCACTTAGAAACTAGTGTCTGGCCCAGCAGCCTACACAGGAGAGTTTGCGGTTACAGCACAGAGACGGTTTCGGGGACAGAAACATCCTTTCTCACTCCTGCCGGAATGCTGCTCACGGCTCCACTGAGGAAAGCCCTGCTTGATGGAAACTCAACTCTGCCATCATCTGCAGCCCAGTGCGACGGCAGTCAAAGGCCAGGGAGAGCTATGCTTTGTTTTATAGAAACATGCCTAGAAATGGTCGCCTTAAGTTATTTAACCCACTCCCTATTGTCGGGTTTTGAGTTTGTTTCTAGTCTTTTCCAACTGCAAACTGCACTGTAGTGACCATTCTCACAGCTACCTCTTTTCACACAAAAGTAATAATTTCCCTTTGGTAGATTTCTAAAAATAAATTGCTAGTTCAGAGAGATGACCAATTCCAAGGCTTCTGATCAGCTCTGCCCAATCACTGCCCGTGGTGAGGTGCCCCCCGAGACTGTACTTGCCGTGTCCTGGGGCCACTGCCCTCTCCTGCCAGTTTTTGTCCCCAACTGAAAGGGCCTCTTGTTTCTCTTTTTCTTGGTCCTTTTTAGGATGTATCATTGTTCATTCCCCTTCGTGAGCTCCGTCGTGTTTTATTTCCTTCTCTGCGTTCTCAGGTTGCCCTCGGAGTGGAGTCTGTGGCTTTCCACCGGAGCAGCGCCCAGGAAGTGTTTTCGTGTGATGAAAGTGTATGTCTGAAGTTCGTTATGAACTCGTCCTAGCTCCAGAGCTAGTGTGCATGCATGTCACTGGTCGTACAGATAATTGATGAGCAATTGGTGTCGTCTGAAGCAGTGACAGCCTGGGTGTGTCAGTGTCTCCAAAACGGTTCCACTGTGGCATCCTACAAATGGGCTGCGTCCTGGGAGCCATTGAGAAGTTGTACCTCCTTTACGGAGGGTTCTCTGGAATAGCAAATTAGGGAAAATGCATTCTGAGGTTCTGTATTTACAATAATAATTTATAAGCAAATAACTCACATTTCATCCTCAGTATTTTTCAGTGCTGTACAAGCGTCTTGAATTACTCTGGTAGCTTTTCCAGAAAGACCCATGACTTCACCACATTTCTCGAGTTACGATGAAGGTAGAGTCTGGGGCCCTGAGTGAGCATCAGATGCTGGAAGCTGGGGCTGGGAGGGGCCAAGCATTGGGGACAGACTCCAGACACCTGCACCACCCCCTGGCCCCATGAGATACGTTCTCAGACCTTCCCAAGAAGGATCTGTGGCTCCTCTCAGTGCTGTGAAGTGCAGGGGGCTTCCCTCTGGAATTCAGCCCATCTCTCCCTCCTACTTTGGCTGGCTCCAGATGCCATTTAGAGGAAATGTTTGGCCCATTTCCCAGGTGCCAGCTTTTCCCATGAGGAAGCTGTCAGTGCTTCCTGGTCAGGGAAATCTTTTGGGCGTGATTTGGTCAGTCACAGTCTGTTGGGGTGAGGTGGTGCGTGGAGAGGACAGGATTTGGAACCAAGGGTCCCTGGATTAGAATCCCTGCTCCATACCTCACTGGCTGTGTGACCCCAGGCTCGCGAATCTGCCTCTCTTGATCTGTTTCCTCATGAGTAAAGGGAAATGACTTTGTACTCTGGAGTGGGCCTCACTCATTCATGTGCCAGGCATCGTGCTAGGTGCTAGGGCACACCCCAAGGCGTTCGGGAAGCAGAGGCTGCCGTCCCTGGCCTGGGGCCTCCCTGCAGTGATGGGAATGTAGCCCTGGTGCCCCCACACCCTGCCCTTCAGGAGCCGTGGTTTCCTTCTGCTCTCTCCTGGGAGGCGCACACCCCTCTGCACCCAGAGCCAAGGAGGGCAGGCAGCCCTGGGACCCTCTTCAGGCACCGCAGCCAGGGTCTGTGTTACCCACAGGTCCTCTGGATGTCAGCATGGCAGCCACAAACCTGGAGAACCAGCTGCACAGCGCACAGAAGAACCTCCTGTTCCTTCAGCGGGAGCATGCCAGCACGCTCAAGGGGCTGCACTCCGAGATCAGGCGGCTGCAGCAGCACTGCACAGGTACATCGGGGAGCAGGCCCGGGCAGGCGGGGGGCGGCTATGGGGCACGGCAGAGCCCAGCGTCAGAATGTGCTAGGCCTGCCCTGCCCCCAGCTCCCATCATCGTTGCAGGAGTCCATCTGAATGCCTTATATCATCCTCATTGCATAATCAAGATGCACTAAGCATAAAGCTGCAAAGCCTTTTCTTGGCATACTGAGGACTTAAGAGATTAAAATACAATGGTTAGAATCTCCAATGTGTTTTGGAACTGATAACCAAGATATAGCCTGTGTGATACATAGAGCCAGCTGCTGGATTGTTTGGTTTGGATGGTTGGGATATGCTGTGGGGGAATGGGGAAGGGAGTTTGGGGGAACAGAGGGTGCCCTCTGACCCCAGGGAGCACAGTGGCCGCAGATGTTTTCTGCTGCTCTCATGCTCACCTCTCCTGCTGCCAAACCCTGCTCTGTCTGGGTAGGACTCGCTGGCTAATCGTGGGAATCGGTTTTGCATTTTCAAAGCTGATGAAGATTTTGAAATGTACAGTAAAAGAATTAATGTGTAACATTTCCCTTTTAGATTTAACATATGAGCTGACAGTCAAAAGTTCGGAACAGACAGGTAAGAACTCCTCCCCAGAAGTAAATGACAGTAGGTTTCCCTTTGTGGTACGTGTTGGTGCCGTTTTCACTAGTCACACACTTAGGAGAAAATGCTCTTGCTGGGAAGAGTTATGCGTGTGGCCTGAGCTCTCTAAGAGAAGATGAGAAGGATGTTTGGATCCCTCCGTGTTGCAAGTGGTTATTAGTGGGCAGGGGGATGAGTGATTTTGTTTTCTTTTGAATGACACATATATTTGGAATGCCTATTATATGTTTTTCTGATTTTCCTACAATGAACATGTGTTCCTTGTGTAATCAGGACATAAAAATAGACGTGAGTTAAACCCAAAAGGAGGAGTAACAGCAGCAGCAGCATTGGGCAGAACCGCCCCCGCTCCTCCGTGTCGCTGCCGCCTAGCATGGGCCTGGCACAGAGCAGCAGCTTGCTAAATGCTGGCGGGCGAGTGGTCACATTACTAGACAGCTCCCTGAGGATCTGGGGCTTTCTCTGGACTACAGCCCCAGAACCCTCCCCAAACCAGAATCCTCCAGGACCTCAGGAAACCCCAAAGGGCAGCTGCCTGCTGGCCGCCAGAGAAGAGACAGAAACCCAGGCCTTCCCAGGGCCCTCTGTGCCTGCTGCAAAGAGCCTGCTCCCTAAAACAGGGTGGGTGTTTGGAAAGTGCTGAATCCATGTTTGTGCAGAGACACCTGTTGGAAACGGGTTTATCACGTCGGGAAGGCAATGGATGGCTCAGCAAGGCTAGTTTACTTTCTGCAGAAAGGGTGCAACTCGCCAGCAGTCTTACCACGAGAGCACACTCAAACAAAGGAGACGAGGACATTTATAATCTTCATAACCTGATGCAATTGCCCTATGACTGTGTCCAGTTTCCATTGACTGGAATGGGACCTCACATTCTAAGCTTGACCCGATTGGCTAACAGCTTGAAACTTTCCTAAATAGGCAAAAGGGAAAGAGGACAAAGAAAAGAGGAAGCTAGTCATGAGAGGGTCAGGAGAGTTTCCAAATAAGGAAGAGCATGCACTATGGTCCAGGGCTCGCTCAGCCCTGCGCAGGCGTGCCGGGGCAAGGCGGAGCAGCTACACTGGAACATATATAGAGATATACATAGAGCAAGGAAATGACAAGCTCTTTATGGTTTCAAGAAACTTTGAAGAACTTCTCCATTCCCCACAATGCCTTTTTCTAAACAGGCCTCACAATGGCAGTTACTATTCATGAGAGTGTCCAGTTCCTTGTAAAAGACACAGACCATTTCCACCAAGCCTTAGTGGATTACCGAGCACTGATTTTTTTCCATTTGCATTGCTCATATTACAGCCTCCTGAGTGCGCCACCCAGGAGCCCAGACATCTTTTTGTCTGCGTGTGGTAGGGAAGGCGCCGTGGGCTTCTTGGGGTGGTGGAATGGGAGCCTGTCCTCAGAAGTCTCCCTGTGGAGGGATACCAGGGACCTCCCCCGAAGCCCTGGGACTGGGAGCTGGGCCTGTGGGAATGCAGAGGAACAGGATTTCAGCCTGACACTAGGGACCTCCAGCGTCCACACCTGCCAGCACTGAAGCCTTGGGAAAGGAGCTACCCGTGTCATGGAAGCCAGGGCGTCCTCGCTCCCTGTCCTCTCCTGGCCCAGGCTAATCTGAAGCAGCATAGTTTTGCCCTGTGGCCTCTCCAGTCACGGTTCTCAACCTGAGGTCCCAAGGCCACCTGCCCACCCACCCACCCACCTGATGTAGTACTCCCAGCAGCAGCAGGGTCTCACAGCAAGGGCTGTGTCTTAGGGGAGGCAGTTTCAAAAGCCTCTCAGGTGGTTCCAGTCGGGGCGTCTCCCCTCCCAGTGGTGAAAATCATTGTTTTACATTAGTGCACCCAAAACTGCCCAATTCCAAGCAGTTTCGGGACCCAGGGTACAGCATAGACTCTTGGCTTCCCTCCCCTGGGGGCTGTGACCCCAGAAGTCTGGGCGGGCCCAGGGAGTGCGCAGGTTTAGAAGCGTTGCAGTGCCCTGACGCTCGGGCAGGCTCAGCAGTGCAGCGTTTGGAGACCAGCAGCAGTTGGCTGCTGTCAGCTCAGTGTGCACCAAGCTTTCATGGGAAGACTGAAATTTCCAGAAAGGGGGTACGTACAGAGGAGGAGGTGGAGTGGAGCTTTCTATAAAGAGCAAGAAATTGGCAAAACAGGAGGTGCTGATTCCTGGGAAGGACAGTCACTGAAGCAGCTCTCCAGAGCTGGGGATGGAGGAGCAGTCGTACCAGCTCCTTCCCACAGGACGGCCCACTCAAGTCGGGGCCGGTAAACATCAGCCCGGAGCCAAGGCTGCACCCTGGAGGAGGAGGCAGCACAGCTAGATGACTCTCAAGGAAGGATGATGAGGAGGATGTCTATCCAGGAGGAGCTTCTCTCAGGATGCTGTGGCGAAAAGAACCAGAGTGATGCTTAATGAGCCCCAGATTTGGGCCTCTGCTCTGACTCGGAGGGGCTGTGTGGCCTTGGGCAGGTTCTTTGACATCTCTGAACCTGCATCTTCATCTGACAGGTGCCCCACAAATCCAAGTCCCCAGTCCGACCACCAGGGCCCTCTGCCTTTGTGGGCTGCCCCTCACAGGACATGAGCAAAGCCCAGGGACAGCCTTGTTCCTGAATGTTCCAAACGTCCATCAGCCTTTTGCAGCAC
Organism: Homo sapiens; assembly: GCF_000001405.40. NCBI lineage: Eukaryota > Metazoa > Chordata > Mammalia > Primates > Hominidae > Homo > Homo sapiens. Next base: position 113,611 of record NT_187590.1, on the reverse strand, counting down.
TGCCTGGGGGAAGAAAAATCCCAGGATGCTCACAGCAGGCCAGGGATGTGGTTGAAGGTCTGAGGTTGCAGCCCTTCCTCGGAAGGAGCCCAAGGCCCACTGTCCACCCGAGTGTGGGCTGAAAGCAAAGGCCCTGCGACAGGCATGGGTTGTTGTCCCACAGGCCCTGGGGGAAGGACAGCGGGTACCAGGCCCAATGCCGTGCCCAGGTCAGCATTTCAGGTTGCAGGGGTTCAGCCCAGGTGGCTGGGCTCCTGGGTCTTACAGTGTCTACAGAGTCGTGTGTGTGTCTCTGTCCCTCTCTCTACCTCTGAAACTGTGTTTTAGGATCTATTTTCCTTTTGGCAAAAGAAGAAACCTCATGAAAGGTAGTACTGCATGCATCCTTTTTAGGGAGGTCATTTGCTGACATTATACCTGCACATACACACACAGACACATGGTTTTTAAAACTAGAAACTTGCAATGGTTCAACTTAAAATTTTTCAACTGCATGGGGCAATACCCATTCAGTACACTCCTCGACTTACCATGGATATGTCCAGATAAACCCATGGTAAGCTGAAAATATCGAAAACACACTTTTGACTTACGGTATTTTCAACTTACATTGGATTTTTCGGGACATGACCCCATGCTAAGTCGAGGAGCGCCCATCACCTGCAGCGAGCTTGTAACATGCAAGTGTCCTGCACAAGACCAGTCCAGTCAGCTGTGGGCCCTCAAAAGCTCAGAGTCTGGCGGCGGGACATGCTGCAGAGCTGCTGCTAGCTCAGGCAGGTGGGAAAATTCAAAGCAAGACAGACAGAAGCCCGGGAAAGACGTCCAGTGGCGTCCAGTGCCTAGGCAGGCCCTGGGTGGTGGAGTTGGTACAGGGAAACTGGGCGTGCAGGTCTGGAGTTAGGGCAAGGACAGAGGGTACAATAGAGACAGAACAAGAGGTGGTGGCTTGGGGAGAGTGATGGAAGCTTTGATTTATGTGGGAGCAGATAACATTCAGGACAGATTGAGGAACTGGAAGGCATCTGGCAGTTTGGGTTTTATTAGGCAGTGAGGAACCATTTTGAACAGAGGACAAGAATATTTAGGGGGTGACCAAGCTTCCTAAATACAGGATGGGCTGAAACGAAGACCAGAGAGGAGGTGGGACCAAGGCCGGCTGGAGGAGCAGGGAGGGGGCAGCACTGAGCAGCCAGCAGAAAGGCACAGTCAGGGAGGGGAGGCCAGGGATGGCGACTGCATCCAGTTTCCCTGGGAGAGTCAAGATGTGGGAAGCAGAGCAGCTATCTGGACTTGAGGGTGTGTCTGACGGACACTCACTTGGAGAAGTGGTGCTCAGGAGACACTGAATCGGGAGCTGATGCTCAAGTTGAATTCCAGACCAGCAAGGAAGAGTCTAGAAAGAACTTCCCAGGGGCCAGGCAAGGAGGATGGCCAGCCAGCCAGCGTTAGGAGGAGTAGGATGGTGACCCAGGGTTTAGAGCCAAGGGTGCTATGTGAGGTGACCAGGGACTGCAGGTCACCAGAAGAGCAGGAGAAGGAGGTGGCTGGTGTTTGCTGAAGGACTGGGTGAGGGCAGGCACCCAGGGACAGCAAAAGGAGGCAGAGGCCCGAAGTGTTAGGGCAGGGGCAGGGAGGGACCAAGGGTAAGAGCCACAGAGGCGAGACAGCTCACTCTCTGAGCAGGAAGTGGGAAAGAGTCTGTGTGTGTGTGTGTGTGAGAGAGACGGGGGTAGGGGGGTGAGAGAGGCGGCCAGCGGCAGAGCAAAGGTGACAGCCCCACACCTCTTCTCCTCTAAACATCAGAATTTTAATTCAATAGACATGGATAATTCTTTTTACATTTGAGTTTCAAAACAGTACTTTGAATGTAGCAGGCATTCCATAAATGCCATCTGAGCAGACAGAGGGATTTGCGGCCAGTTGAATCCTAAGTGTTTGCTGAGGTCTGATACTCTGCAATTGCCTGTTTTAAGTTCAGCATCTTTAAGGTTCAGAGACATTCTTTTATGCAGTAGGCCAGAGAACTAAGAGCCGGAAAGGGCCTCTGAGATGCCCCGATCTCCCCACCTCGGGGAGGGGAGGGGTCTTTCCAGAGCCCCCACAGCCCTGCCTTCTGCATGGCCCCCACAGCCTAGACAGGGCCCCCACCAGACAGGTCCGCCTGCCCCATAGGCCTCACCACTCGGCCTCAGTCTAATGAGTTCTTCACCTGCTTCCTCGGCTTATTCTTGTAGGAGACGGGACTTCTAAAAGCAGTGAATTAAAGAAAAGATGTGAAGAGCTGGAAGCCCAACTGAAAGTGAAAGAGAACGAAAATGCTGAGTTGTTGAAAGAACTGGAGCAGAAAAACGCGATGATCACAGTGCTGGAGAACACCATCAAGGAGCGAGAGAAGAAGTACCTGGAGGAGCTGAAGGCCAAGAGTCACAAGCTGACCCTGCTGTCTAGCGAGCTGGAGCAGCGGGCCAGCACCATCGCCTACCTGACCTCCCAGCTGCACGCCGCCAAGAAGAAGCTCATGAGCTCCAGCGGGACCTCAGATGCCAGCCCGTCAGGGAGCCCCGTGCTGGCCAGCTACAAGCCAGCGCCCCCCAAAGACAAGCTACCCGAAACGCCTCGCCGCCGCATGAAAAAGAGCCTCTCAGCCCCCTTGCACCCGGAATTTGAAGAGGTCTACAGATTCGGGGCAGAGAGCAGGAAACTCCTTTTGCGGGAACCAGTGGATGCTATGCCCGACCCCACCCCATTTCTGCTGGCTAGGGAGTCCGCCGAGGTCCACCTCATCAAAGAGAGGCCCCTCGTCATCCCCCCCATCGCCTCCGACCGAAGCGGCGAGCAGCACAGCCCGGCCCGCGAAAAGCCGCACAAGGCCCACGTCGGGGTGGCACATCGGATCCACCACGCCACCCCGCCGCAGGCCCAGCCCGAGGTGAAGACCCTGGCGGTCGACCAGGTGAACGGAGGCAAGGTGGTGAGGAAGCACTCAGGGACGGACAGAACTGTGTGAAGCCCGCCGTGCCCCACCCCGCGCTGTCCATGCACTGTGAGCACCACTGGGAAATCTCAGCCACACCTTTTCTGTTTAATCCCATGCATGCCAAACACTTTTCACACCTACCGACCCATTCTCCTTCTGCTTCTCTTGCCCTCTTCTTCACACCAAAATATGATCGTGTCCCTGCCGCAGAATATGTATTTCCTAATTGCTGTGGCCAAACGCCTGTGTGCCGAATCGCTTGCTTCTGATCCCGCTCCGTGTAACCTAAGTGCGCTGCAGGCAAAGCCCAGGCCACGGCTGCGTCACTACTGATGTTCACGATGCCACACAGTCACACACCTAATTCATTCTCAAGTCGGAGCAACACATACCAACCTTGACCTTATCCTCAAGCTCCAGGGCAGCCTGGCCGAGCAGCCCCTGCTCCCTCCTGGAGACCCTTGTCACCTCCCGAGCTCCTCCTGGAGACCCCTGTCACCTCCTGACCAACCTTTCCCAGGGCGGCACCGATCACCGAGCAGCCGTGCGTGTATCTCAAGGAACTAAATAAGATGACGCTACTCCTCATAGCACCACAACCTGAATGTGTGTTCATATTTTTTTGTTAGTTTTATCCAAAATGTTTAAGATCCCAACAAACTTTATTTTCTAAACCTGCCTTCCTTCTGTTTTGTGTCTTTTATTAAACAAACACCTGAAGGAGGGCTAGGAGACTGCAGGAGGGAGAGCAATCACAGGTCCCAGAAGCGACTCCGGCCTCCTCCCGGCCCAGAGCTAGTCCTTAGAATGTGCTGCGCTCCTGAGCTTCTGTGGGAAGCTGCTTTTGCCTCTGATGGCCCCTGCCCACTGTGCTGCCCGTGCTAGCCCCTCTCCTCCCTCATGGAGTGAAGCCACCCCTCACCTCCAGGTGGCCAGCCAGGGCTCCAGGCCAGCCTCATGGTGCACAGAGGGAAGGGGTGCCCAGTGACCACTGGTCCTGGAGGTTCTGTGTCCTTACCTGACCCCACACAGACCCAGGCAGGCTGGGGGTAGAAGCTCATGCAGGAACTAAACACTAAGCTCAACAACTTCACAGTCGCCGTAGCAGGTCAGAGCCAAAGAAGCTAGGGCCAGAGAGTTCTGGAAGGGGGAGAAGTGGCTCCAGGTGACTGGTCACTTCTGCTCTGTGCCCGACATCATCAGCCCTTCTTGCCAAAAAGGAGCATCTGCTGAAACAGACCTGGATCATCGAAAACACACCTTTGGAAATTACATTAGGATTCTCACTTGTGCCAATGCTATGTATGCCAGGCACTTTTGCCTAATCAAGTGTTTTCTCTGAGAAGGAAAAGAAAACTCCACACATCTTAAAATACTCTCCAATATTTACTTTTTGATTATATAAATTCCTTTTAAAAAGTAGTATTAAAAACAAAACCATTCAGGTTAATTTGTATGGAAAGAGATTTAAGTGGCTGATTTCAAATGAAAAATCAGTGTCAGTCCCCCTCCTGCCTCTTGAGAGGCCCCAAGAAATGACAGCAGACCCGATCACTCTGACAACCCCAGGCTCCGAATTCATTAAGCAGTTTTCTTCACCCAAAGGTTAATCAGAATTCAGGGTGAGGCATACTCCTTGCAGCACCCAGTGAGAAATGTGCCTCGTGGTAAAGAGATCAGCTTCAAAAACCAAGCCGACTCCCATGGCGTTCCTTCTCATGGAGGTGGTGTAGACGGGGGTCCGGAAAGTATTCTGCAAGGGAAAGGCAGGTGAGATGCCCCCACGGAGAGAGGGTGCAGAGGGATAAAGGCAGAGGTGCAGTGTAAGTCTTGACAGGCAGGGGCCCCTGTGCAAGACTGCACCTGAGAACACGCACAAGGCTGGGGCTGCTCAGGGCCACCCTCCGCCAGCTTCACGGGGACCTGGCTTCACACTGACACCCTGGTTAAAAGTGGGTCCTGGCCCAGGCAGAGCAGAAGACATCTGCTGTCCACACCAGCGGGAACCACTTTATGACTCAGGCAATGTCTGCAGCATTTTGCAAGAAGGGAGGGAGTCTCCCCTTGGTTAGTCTAGACCACAGGATCACAGCTTGAGCCTGACACCTCTGGAAGGACCGGCATCCACACACACATACAGCCGCGCCTTTTCCAGGAAGCAGCTATCCGTAGCTTTTATCACGGCTCCAAGACTCTCCCCAGCCCATAAAGCTTAGGCACCCCTGTTTTAAAAAGTAGGACTGTTGGAAACCACCTCAGCCATAACTACAGTCAGAAGAGGAAGGGCCCTGGTGTCAGAGAGGAGGGGCTGGGACCTTCACCTGCAGCTTGAGGCGATGGGCTTCAATGGGGATGATCTTCAGGATCGGCAGGTCCACAACCAGCACCTTGGGTTTGCTCTTGATAAGACATCCTTTTTCTATATCCCAGTCAGCACCTTCCAGGTACAGTCCTGAGACAAAGCATCCTAGGGACACAAGGCAGAGACTGGATACAACTGGAGCATGCACAGCCTGCCACGGAGTGGCTCTATCAGGCGCACACACAGCGACACACAGGCCACTGGCTGGCCTCCTCCCCAGCGCATTGGGGACAGCCCAGGCCCTTCTCCAGCATTTCTGTCCTGCCCACCTTCCCTCTGTGGAGGAGCAGCCCAGACAGGAGACCCTGTGGCCCTGCCCCATGGCCCAGAGAAATGGGTGTGGGGCGGTGGCCTCTCCCCCAGGAATCCTCATTCCTGGGGCATCAAGGCCCACGGACTTAGACCACCCTGGGCCCCCAGGCTAGAAAGATGCATGGTCCCAGAGTCAGAATGGGCACCATGGCAACCCCAGCTACCCTGTGAGCCGAAGTGGCTGGGGAGCAGGAAGTCGAAGCCTCACAGAGAAAGTGGTCTCCGGGGAGGAGGACCCAGCAGATGTGCAAAGAGAGGAACACACTCCTGTGGCCCCAGAGAGAGTGGTGGCCCGGACACCTGCCACCTCCCCTGCCACTGAGACCTGGAGAGTCCCTGCATCTTTACCGTAAGTCCCCAGTCCTTAAGCCATCTCAAAAGAGCTTTTGTTCCTTGCAGTTAAAAGAACTCTAAGACAACATGGACCCGGGGAAACAGCAGTTTCCAGCTCTCATTTGCACAGTCAGTAACCAATGTCTAAGGGACCTGAAGTTCTGGCATAATCAAAGAGTTCCAACCAAGTTAGTCCATGCTGCTCTGTGGCTCCCATGCCCCTGGCCCCGTCAGGGGTTACAAGAAAGCCACCTGATGGTTTTTGCAAGAGCTAATTCTGACCTAGGAGCCCACTTGCCATGAGCTAGCAGAGTGAACATGGTTCAGGTCTCCCCTGCCATAGACCCCAGGTCTCAACGGAGAAAGTGGAAGAGAAACTTCCGTATCCACCCTCAGAGGTGTTAAGACATGGGCAGTGCAGAGACACAGGAAATATTTGCAGCAGGCTGGCTTTCAAACATGGCCTGGCCCATTTAGGCCCACGCTATGCCTGTCCCTTTGAGTTGGAGGTGGTTCAGGGAGAGAAATCCTAAGTGAGAGGCTGTGGATCCCTAACGAGCTGACGGTACCTTGTCCCGCCCGCTCATTCACTTCATCTGCATCCTGGAACTTGGTCACTTGTGTGAACAAGGTGGAGCGGTCCAGTGGCCAGCCGTTCTTCCGGCAGGTGGCCTGCACCAGCGCCGTGAGGTAGGACTCAGGGATGTGCAGCCCCGAGAGCCACATCACGCTGGGCTCGCTCTCGGTCACCTGGAGAGAAGAGAGGACAAGTGCTGGGAGCCTGGGGCTGCCATCCAATGCCAGGTCAAAGCTGGCCTGGAAGTTTAGTTTATGATAAAAGACATATTTCACCTAAGTGGCAAAAGATGGCGTTGGCACAACTGGCCGCCTGTCTGAGAAAAACAATCTGGACTGCCACATTCCAGGTAGATCAAAGATTTAGATATAAAAATAAATAAAACCACAAAAGTACTGGGCCACATCTCCAATGAATGCTTTCATATCGTGGAGTAGGAAATACAAAGCCCAGGATAAAAAAGAAAAGCCTTGTAGGTTTGACTACGGAAAAATGTAAAGCTTTTCTGTGGAAAAAATACCGTAAGCAAAGTCAAGACTTATGACAAGCTTGGAGAAATACCTGCAACACTGGCAGACCAAGGGCTAATTTCTTTGATTTGCAAAGAGCTCTTAAACATCAATGAGAAAGATGGAGACCTCACTAAAAATGAAATCCAGATACAAAAGGACAATTCACAGAAAAACAAACACAAAATGTCTGTAAAGCATGCAAAATACGCTCAGACTCACCATAATTAAAGACATGCAAAACAATGAGATATTATTTTCACCTATCAGGGAGACAGTGATCCAAAATGTTAAGAACGCAGCATTGCAGCGGAGTGAGGAAAGAAGCACTCTCATAGACTGTGGTTTCAGCCTTTCCAAGAACCATCCAACAAGAGCTATCAAAATTTAAAATGCACAAGCTCTTTGATCCAACTCTTCCACTGTCAGAATTTACCCATGGAATATACCCCTATGCATATTCATATACATGTGCACCAGAATGTTATTTGTATTAGCAAAAAAAAAAAAAAAATGGTAACCACCGAAATGTAGGCAGTTACCATATTTTTAGGATACAGAAGGAGGAGAAAGGATATGAAACATTTGTACAATGGCATACTCTAAAAAAGAACGAGCTAGCTGTGTACTAATATGGAACAAGTGCCAAGATATACACTTAGATAAAATAATCGGGTATGTAAGAGTATGCTTCAAAGTCTTCAAAAGAAAAGGAAAAACAAAAGATACAGATAGGCTTGTAAGAATCTCAGACCATTTCCAGAGCACCCAATAAACTTTAACAGAGGTTACTGCTGGGCAATGGAAAGAGGGGATTGGGAGGTGGTTTGAGGAGTCTAGGCTGACACCTGAATCGGCAGAGAGGAGGCGGTGACGTGCCACTTACCCACAACATGTACTGGCTGAACCGCCGCAGGAAGTAGACCATCCAGTTTCCAAGGGACTTTAAGGTGTCAGGAGCAAGCCTTCTCCAGATATTAGGGATATGCCCGATAAAAAGAGACCTGGCCACATCATCTAACTCATTGCTCATTCCAACTTCTCCAGCCAAGGCCTATTTAGAATCAAGAGCAATCGGGCAGGACTCTATCAGAACCCCAGGTGCCACGTATCTAGGCAGTAATCTGCACATGAGAGACAGGCTCACCCTTTGAAGTTCAGCCAGAGACTTCGTCATCCGGACCACAAGCTTGTTGAAGCGTTCCAGTTCCTGCAGGAGCACCACCGAAGTGGGGGAGAGTCCTGTTCCGAGGCGCTTCCTCACCTGGTCCAAGTCAAAGACTTTGGGCATCTTGTTTTCTATTTCTTTGGCCACTTGGCCAATATAATCATCGCGGCTGATACCACTGCTGGATTCCCCTAAAACCAGGACACTTTTCAGAGAAAGCAAGGCATCCACGTGCAGAACCGGAGCCTCCTGAGCCTTCCAGTTCTGGGAAAGGCATCAGCAACGTGGGAGGGCTACAAGAAGCAATCGTAAAACCCCAATCAAACTAATGAAGTCCTCCTGAGTAGAGTTTACCTGTCTGAGGCTGCAGCTCCAGCAGGTGAGCCCACATGTCTCGAGCCGCCTGCGTGTAATAGCCAATCTCAGCGTTGGGGTGGAGACCAAACACTTCTGGCGTGTTGGCAAGCGGGAGGGCCTCGATGGCTTCTGCAATCACAGAGAACAACGGAGGTGGCACTGTCCAGCCACCTGTGCTTTCTCAGGGCCCACAGCCTCAAAGTCTCCAAGACATGCAAGACTAATTTCCACTGTTTAGAGGGTGACTTTTTTTTTTTTTGAGACAGGGTCTTAGTCACCCAGGCTGAAGTGCACTGACATGGTCATTGATCACTACAGCCTCGACCTCCTGGGCTCAAGCTCTTCTCCCATCTCAGCCTCCCAAGTAGCTGGTACTACAGGTATTCACCACCACACTCAGCTAATATTTTTGTTTTTTGTTTTTTTGTTTTGATTTTTTGTTTATTTTTTGTAGAGATGGGATCTTGCTTGGTTGCCCAGGCTGGTCTTGAACTTCTGGGCTCAAGCGATCTGCCCTTCTTGGCCTTCCAAAGAAGGGATTACAGGTGCGAGCCACCATGACCAGCCAATGACATGTTTTTAATGTAAAAATTCTACACTACCACACCCAGTCCAGCCGTATGTTCATCTTTTACGAAAATGGCTCAGTGAGCTTCACTGTGGCCATTCTGCCCTTCCAGGTGGAACCTGATTTATTTACCATCATTCCAGGATGGGAAATCTGAACTCTATCAGTCAGCTCTGCAGCCAGGAAGCGTCTGCCGAGCCACCTAACAGGCTTAACAGACCACACCTGACCAGCCGAGGAGCCCCCACCAGGAGAGGAGCCGGTTGAAATGTATGGTCTCCCTTAGAAAAAGCCTTGAAAACATCTTTTCATGTCTGAGAAATCTCACCAACAAATTTCTCCTTTTCATCACCAACAGGGATTTTGTAGTCCACTTCCTTGTTCCGGAAGAAGTGGAATGGCTGGAAAGTATCAAAAATGAAGTCCCCCAGGTACTCATCCATGTAGATGGTCAGGATGCGGCGATCAAAGCTGTCGATGGCCCGTCCTCCATACATGACCTGAAATTAGAGGGCCTGAGAGCCAGCCAGGAGCTCAGAACCTACTGTGTGCACCCTGGGGGCCCGGGGCCAGAGGCTCACCCAGGGTCAAGAGACTCCAGCAGCCTGGCTGCTGCAAGGCTTGAACCTGTTGACTTGCATAACCTTTCGGGCCACTGTTCACACAATTGATCTGTGGCTTTGCTGGCTTCCCAAGGGATAGGGCCCAAAGCAGTAAGAAGCCCTCAGGAAGTGTTGGGAGCTCCTGTGCAGCAGGCAAAGTCCCCCAAACACATCAAACAAACAGCTGAAGAAGCCAGCAGCTGCTTCTGTCTTTGGAATTGATGTCACTGCCTGAGCCGTGTGCAGACCACCGGGGATGCTTCCTGTGAGCTCTGTATACAGCAACAGCTGAGGCAAGGGGCTAGAGGATGCCTTGCCTGGATCCCCAGCCATGGATCCAGCTCAGGGAACCTCCATGTGAACAGAGCTCACTTAGGACAAAGAACAACCAGGTGAGAGCAGAGAGAATTGTCACAGAAACCCAAGGGGAACACAGGGGCAGAAGAGGCTGGTTCTGAGGGCTCAGAGGAAAATAGGGGCACGAGGCCACAGCTCTGTAGCCCCAGAGGCACCTGCGGAAGGATCCCCGGTCACCCCTACCTCTCCAATTAGGTACTTGAGGCTGCCCCACGGGATCCTTGGGTCCCGTTGCTGGAAGGCTTTCGTTAAGTACGTGTTCAGAATTTCCATGCAGACCTTGAAAGAAGAGAACACGCTCAGTTATACTGAAACCCACCAAGCTGTTCACATTCTGATACTTTTCTGAAAAGGCTGCTGGGAACGGTGCAACCCTGCTGTGGTTGAACCCGGAGGAAAGTCGGGAGGAAGTGGGCCGCCTAAGGAAGCCATTTCCAAGGAGAAGCAGCCACTGTCACCTGGAAGTCAGACTCATTGAAGTCATAGTACACGTTCCAGCCAATCTTCCCAAACTTCCTTCTCTCCTGCACCACAGCATGAAAGAACGCCAGCACGTAGACCAGCGGCTTGAAGGCAGGGTGCGGGCACTGGTCCAGCATTTCGTGAGAGATCTTGAAGTAAGTTGCCCTCATGTTGAGTTTCAGCCCATTGGGTGGCTCGGTGACAACCTTCAGAAGAGAAGAAAACACACAGTGATGGAGACCGCAGGCCCACAAGCTTGGAAGAGTGTGCACAATGCAGGCACTGCGCTTTCCTTCCTCTCTACGGAGCCATCTGTCTGAGACCTCCAATAGCTAAAGTCTCTTGTCCAGGGCCCAGGCTGAGAAGTTAAAGGACTAGATGTTCTGGCTCTCAGGGTCAAGGGTCAAGAGTCTTTGACCTTCCTCTGAACCATGAGATCCTTTACTATATATAAAATGAAAGTAAAGTCTTCCCTCCACCTCCCCAGAGAGAGAGAGAGAGACAGAGAATGACAAAACCTTTCCAAAAGAATTTCCCGGAGAATAAATTAAATGGGGCATGTAAACCACGCGAAACTCCTGCAGTCAGCACTAGCGAACTGCAGGCTGTGTGTGGGGGGGGGGGCCGTGAAGTTTATGAAAAGTAGCGTAGATATTGTTAGGGACACATGCAGAATTGGTAGAGATAGGCCTGGGAGTCACAAACACCCAACCCAGGACAGCGGCTCCCTCTAAAGAGAGAGGTGGGATTGAGAAGGGTTTCAACCGCAAGGTTTCACCTGCAGCCTAAGGTTTATTTCTACACAGACAAAGGCACACCCCGGCCCCAGAGCAGCATGCAGGTGTTCTGAGAAGCTGCGTGCTGGCATGTTGATGTCCATCCTGAAGCCAGACCTTTAGGGACTTCTGCAGAATCCCAATGGGGAAGCCCTTGGTGGGGTCCGTGGTGAGCCACAGGCGGAAGTCTGGGTGGGGCTTGGTGATCCTCTCCAGGGACTTCTCCAGATCTTTCAGCCACTTGACCAGGAGGTGGCAGTTCTGCAGCATCAGCCACTGCCCCCGAGCCACCGCCGTCTCCAGCAGCTGCAGGGCCACCTGCGCCGGGGGAGAGGGAAGAGGAGAGGGGTTGGCATCCAAACCCAACCCCGTGCTCTCCAGAGACCCACTCCACACCCACAGAAGGGCGATGGCAGCTCCAGCAGAAGCCAAAAGCAAGCCGAGGATCCAGGAGCTACAGGTGGAGCCTTCAAATAAACCATCTTTGAGAAACCCCATGGGCCCCGTGGGTGCACTGAGCTGGTCACACCCAGCCTGGAAGATGGGTGAGCATTTTGCACTCATCTGCCTCCCTGGCCCTGGAAGTCCCAGCTCCTCCCACACAGTCGCTCCTGTCCCCTGAGGACTCCTGAGCAGGGCTGCAAGAGACCAGCTAAAGCCCACCAGGAAGTCGGGACTGTCCTGGCCACTGTAAGATCTTCAGGGCCCTAGGCCTGGAAAACAATCACCATGTCCCCTCCCAAATGTAATTCAAAGCACAAACAAGCTAAACACCCAAATCAAGCCTTGCTTTCTGAAATGGCTTAAAACACATGAGTGCTGGCGTTACAATAGCTTATTTCAGTGTTGTGGTTGAGAGAGCTGGCCCGCCTTGCTGGTGCCCAGGGCTTGCCTCCTGGGCCATCCAGCATGGGTATTGCCATCCTCATCTCACCCAGGGGCTTTCAGCAGTAGAGGGGCTTACCCAAAGCCTCACAGTTCATAGCAAAGCCAGGACTGGCAGTCAGCTCCCTCTGACCCCAACACGCATGCCTGCAACCATCACACTTACTGACGCACAGACTTTTCCTGCAAGCTTTGTCCCACATTGTACTGAACTTGTGTAGCAAGTTCTAGCAGGGAGCACTGTGATGCAGAGAGGCAAGACCTCAGCAAAGAAAGCTCACTGGCTCAGAAAGGTAGGAGGATTTGCACCACAGTTCTGTCCTGAATGGTCCTGGGCTCAGCCTCTCTCCACCCACTCCCTTGGCCATGCAATTGGGGCCATAATAATCCTGATCCACAATGAGGCTGTTCAGGGACTAAGGAAGGTAAGGACTGTGTGTGAAAGGGCTTTGAAAACAGCACAGCCTGAGCATCGTGTCTCATGCCTGTGATCCCAACACTTTGGGAGGCCGAAGTGGAAGGATCGCTTGAGCCCAGGAGTTCAAGACCAGCCAGGGCAACATGGTGACGTGTTTGTATTTTTCTCTACAGAAAATACCAAAAAAATTAGCCAGGCATGGTGACGCATGCCTGTAGTCTCAGCTGCTACTGGGGAGGCTGAGGCAGGACGATCACTTCACAATCAGGAGGTCGAGGCTGCAGTGAGCTATGTTCGCACCACTGCACTCCAGCCTGGGTGACAGAGTGAGACCCTGTCTCAAAAAGAAAAGAAAAAGGAAAAAAAAAGAAAACAGCACAGCACCATGATCACAACATGAGGTTGTGAAATCATAACTATTATTGTCATCTTCCCAGTGTTTCATTACTGCTTCTTAGCTCGGAAATGCATCCAACTGATTTGTGGCGTGGCACTCAGCTTAAACCCAGGTTAGCTCCTTCTTAGCAGACACCAGGGACCTCCCCTAAACGTAGAGCTTGTTCCTTTCAGCCACAAATTACCTTTTCTTGACCTTGACCCATTGCAAGGAATTTGAGGCGATTTCCTCCAAAACCACTTCGCTCTGCTAATTTCATAAGATCAGTGGCAGGGTCGGAGCCAGGACTCAGGATAAACACAATGGGCGAATGTGGAGTGCTCTGCTCAAAAATAGCTTCAAAGCTGATCATTGGGGGCTGCACATACCTGGTGAAAGAAACACAGTCAGAAAACTCTCCCGCGAGGACAGCTCCAGACCAGGGGCTGGTCTGTCTGATCAGCGCTGCCTCCTCCGGTGTCCAGAACCTTCTGACCACTCCTCTGGGATAGCTCGTTGCAGTCTTCCCTGTTTTAGATTCTAGTTTCTATGCACGTCTCCCACCCTGATGGGGAACTCCTGAGTGGCAGGGACTTCTCTGTACCCCCTCACACTCGATTCAGTTGGTTTGTGCTGAGCTGGGCACCTCAGCTTGCCCTCTAGGTGGGCCTGCCCATGGCACAAAACCCTGAGGTTCCACAGGCGTGTCCTGAATGGTCCACATCTTGAGTTTTGAGTTTTGTGTTTTGTGTGTGGGTTTTTTCTTTTTCTTTTTTTTTTTTTTTTTTAAATTGAAATATATAATCTCACTCTGTTGCCCAGGCTGGAGTACAGTGGTACTATCACAGCTCACTGCAGCCTCAAACTCTTGGGCTCAAGCAATCCTCCCACCTCAGCTTCCTTAGTAGCTTGACTACAGGTGTGCACCACCACGCCTGGCTAATTCTTTTTTATTTTTTATTTTTTAGAGGCAGTATCTCACTATGTTGCCCAGGCTGGGTCTCGAACTCCTGGCCTCAAGCGATCCTCCCACATCAGCTTCCTGAAGTGCTGGGATTACAGGTGTGAGCCACCGCACCTGACCCAGATGTGCGTTTTAAAATTCATTGCAAACACAAAGATATTGGGATATTTCAGGAAAAAATCTGAAGTCCTAGCTTCTTTCAGAGTCAGAGGATCCAGCCACTGTGGGTTCCCAATGGCACCTGGTATCAGTCAGCAGGAGCTAAGGGCAGCTGCCCAGGGACCAGGACCCCACCCAGCCTCATCACTCACTGCCATGGCCTGCTGGCTACAAGGGCACATCTGAGCTGCAGCCCCACACGCTCCGCCTGGCTTCGTACCCCATGCTAGAGCTACATTGTCCAGTGCGATGGCCGTGAGGCACAGCACTTAAAATGTGGCTAGCCCCAATTGAGATGTGCTGTAAGTGTGAATTCACACAGGATTTTGTAGACTTAATACCAGAAAAAAGCATGTAAAATGTCTCAATCATGTTCATATTGATTATACATTCAAATGATAATTTTAATATATTCATTTAAATAAAATGTTATTACAATTAATTGCGCCCATTTCTTTTCTAATGTAGCTACTAGAACTTTCGAAACTGCATATGTGGCTCACACTGAATTTCTTATGACTAGCACTGTTCTAGAATATTGAAGAATTCTAGAATATCGGCTATCGAATATTGTACAGCAGGGTGGCGACAGCTGTCTCGGGAGCTGGTCAGCCTCTGCTTTCTTTGAGTCCAAGGTGGGAGGACGCTAGAGATTCCACCCCACGGAAAGTGGCAAATCAACAAAACGACACACTTACTTCTCTCCCATTGTTACAGTCACATAGTCAGTCACGGCCCGATAGACCCGATCCACACGGAAACAGCGCAAAATAAGCAACTTCTGGAAAGGGGTGATGTTGTTATCGTAACCCAAGGGGACGGGAAACTGCTCCAGTGAATCCAGGTCATACCACTGGGAAAAGCAAAGAATATTCATTGTGCGTCAACTCAGAAATGACATAGGTCCCCATTTATGTGTGAAGGTGGCAAAAGCCACTGGAAAGGGACGAGAATCCATAGGTGTACTAACTGAAGGCCACCTGGTCAGATCTGTCATTCTCTACCCCCAAAGGCTATGACATTGAGAAAGGAGCAACTGAGTCTTATTCACTGAGTCCCCAGTGCCCATCAAGGGACATGGTACATGGCAGATGCCCAACAACTATTTCTTGGATGGACGGGTGTGTAGGTGGATGGATGAGTGGGTGCATGGATGGATGGATGGATGGATGAGTAGATGGGTGGGTGGGCAGATGGGTAGATGAATGGGTCGGTGGGTAAATGGATGGATGGGTGGGTGGGTAGGTGGATGGATGGATGGACGGACGGACAGGTAGATGGTTGGATCTCCCATACAACTAGCTGAATTAGCCAAAGGAGAATTCCAATCAGGGAGTTACAGGGCATCAGTTACACACTGAATGGGTTACTCAAAGGAGTGTCTTCTCTTAAGGGGTTGGGCCACAGTTGAGGTTTGGAGATTGTTGACATGTGGGGAAGGAGAGGAGGAGAAAGGGAACGTGGGCTCACCTCCTGCCAGACAGTCTGATTATTCTCAACATCATCAGGAAGTTGCCCAAAGTTGTCTGAAAACATTTCTGATAAAAGAATGATATCTTCCCATCCTTGGTCAGACAACCAAGCGCAGGGCTTTTTTCTTTTGCTTTTCTCCAGGGAAATGTTTCCTAATCACAACAGAAGAGAAGCAAGCAGCCATTGTACCACTAACACAAAGCAAGCAACTCTGCTTCGACTTCTCCCACTTTTGGGAAAAGTCCACTTTTCAAGAAGGAGACTGGAAACAGGAAGTGGCCCAGGCTTGCCCTCGTCACCGCCAGTGACACCAACCAGGCGCTCAGTGCAGCATCCAGCTTCCAGCCTCAGGATGGCCCCGAGACAGAGGCTGGCTGCTCCGATTTCAACCAGAGCCATTTCTGAGGCTGGAATGATCAACTGGAATAGTGAAAAATGCAGTGCTGTTGGAAGCCAAGTTTTAAGGAGAATTTTTGTTATTGTTTGTTTCAACAGACAAACTTATATACATGTATCATGTGGGCAAGGAGATGGGAGGAATGAAGCTAGGCAAATTCATTACCTTTTAAAAAGAAATCTAGTTCTTCTTGAGGGACTCTCCCTTCTGCTTGTTCTATCTTGATGGTCATATTAAAAGAAAAGAGTAGCTTGTGCCTCTCAAACAGCCCTGGAGGGAAACATCAGATGAGTATTGATTTCTTAAAATTCATTTTTAAAAAACTGAGTTTCTTATGCACACTGTGCTTAAACGTAAGATAAATGAAACACTCGAACTGTATGGCTGCATTTACCCCTCTTTGCACCTAATGTCCATGAATATCTAAGTTCAAGAGAGATGAGCTCAGTTCCTAGGTCATGCCCCAGTCTGTAGTGACATGCTCCTGTATGTAACGGAAATGGCCATGTCTACAGGAGGTAAAATCACACCAACCTGGGAAGAGGAAAAGCCAGTGAGGGGCAGTACAGCAGGGGCAGCCCTCTCCACTGAAGGCAGGTTGTTTGCCTGACTCCATGGCATTTGTGTCCATTAGAGTCTAGAAGAGGTGTTGGCAAACTTTCTACAAAGGGCCAGATAGTAAATATTTTTGGCTTTGGAAGCTAGATGGTCTCTGTCATAACCACTCAACTCCGCCATTGTAGTGCAAAAGCAACCATAGACAATATGTATACAAATGGATATGGCCCTGTTCCAATAAAACTTTATTTACAAAAGCAGGCAGTGGGCCAGATTTGGATGCTGGCTAGGGGGTTGCCAACCTCTATTGCAGAGGACACACACTCCATCAACAGACTCTTTATTAATGGATGCAAAATACCAGCGTTCTTCTTTTTTGCTTTTTAACAGAAGACATGTGTTCCTGGAAAAAAAAATTGTTTAAGTCAAAATTTGTAATTTGAATTCTACTTTATATGTGTTAGGAGGGTTGGCTACTTAAGTGAGCCCTATAGAAACAATCTCTTTTCTGCCCAACTGTTAAGGGCTAAATTATATTTCTCCAAACTTCCTATGTTGAAGCCCCAACTTCCAGTACCTGAGAATATGACAGTATTTGGAGACAGGGTCTTTAAATAGGTGATTAAGTTCAAATGAGGCCATTAAGGTGGGCCCAGTCCAACCTCACTGGTGTCCTTATAAGAGGAGGAAATTTGGACACACAGAGACACCAGGGATTCACACGCAGAGAAGAAAGACCTTGTGTGGACAGAGCAGGAAGACAGCCTCCTACAAGCCAAGGGGAGCATCCTAAGGAGAAACGAAACCTACCAAAACCTTGATTTTGGACTTCTGACCTCCAAAACTATGAGAAAATAAATTTCTGTTGCTTAAGCCACCCAGTCGGTGGTATTTTGTTATGGCAGGCATGGCAAACTAATACACCAAACGCTGGTGCATGGAAAATATCACTGTCAGTACAGTGTCTCAGCAGAAGAGGACTGGAAAGGGACACGAGTGTGTCCTACCCACCCTCTGCTTCCTAAAGGTCACTCTACAGGCCCCTGGTTAAAAATGGCCATTCTGAGTTTATCCCAACTCCTTTTCAAAAACCAACTGAAATGGTGAGTTTTTTTGTTTGTTTGTTGTTTTTGTGCAGTGGCGCGATCTCGGCTCACTGCAACCTCCGCCTCCCGGGTTCAAGCCATTCTCCTGCCTCAGCCTCCCCCCCAGTAGCTGGGACTACAGGTGCCTGCCAACACGCCCAGCTAATTTTTG
The DNA here is from genome assembly GCF_000001405.40 of Homo sapiens. Lineage (NCBI taxonomy): Eukaryota > Metazoa > Chordata > Mammalia > Primates > Hominidae > Homo > Homo sapiens. Next base: position 95,761 of record NT_187590.1, on the reverse strand, counting down.
TATTTTTAGTAGAGACGGGGTTTCACCAGGTTGGCCAGGATGGTCTCCATCTCTTGACCTCATGATCCGCCCGCCCTGGCGGCCCAAAGTGCTGGGATTACAGGAGTGAGCCACCGCGCCTGGCCTAATGGTTAGTTTTTTAAAAAGGTATAAGCTCCCAGAAAATTGGAGAAAAGACAATAGCAATAAAATTTTGCAAGCTAGGCCAGGTGTGGTGGCTCACATCTGTAATCCTAGCACTTTGGGAGGCCGGGGTGGGCAGATCACTTGAGATCAAGAGTTCGAGACCAGCCTGGCCAACATGGCAAAACCCTGTCTCTACTAAAAATACTAAAAATTAGCTGAGTGTGGTGGTAGGTGCCTGTAATCCCAGCTACTTGGGAGGCTGAGGCAGGAGAATCACTTGAACCCAGGAGGCGAAGGTTGCAGTGAGCTAAGATCGCACCACTGCACTCCAGCCTGGGCAACAGAGTGACATTCTGTCTCAAAAAAAAAAAAAAAAAAAAAAAAAAAAACTGCAAGCTACAGACAGATGGACAAGTGATAACTGATTTAGCAGAGCTGAGAAAGTTGACTCTCACATGAGGAGGAGATAAAGCTGAGATGCAAACCACAGAACACATCAAAAGCTCAGGAACTGGCAGTACCAGATCCTTTGGAAGTGTGGGTGAATATGGGCTAAAAACAGGAAGATGGGTGGACAGCTTGTTTGACAAGCCGTCAGATCCCAGATCCCCTCTCACTCCATGCTGCCAGGCAACTGCCTGCCCCACCCAAGTGAACTTTGGAAAAGATAAAGCAGGGTCTCTGGACGGGGGAACACCAGGCATAGTTGAGGGTAAACCGTACTGAAAATATGGCTTTCAGTGAACGTTTTCACGACGAATGCTGAAATCGACAGCCTTCTTTTCTCACTTGGTTCCACGAAGGCTGGCAGCCAGGATTACATACTCTAGGAAAAGGCTGAAGACTCTTCACTGGGGAATCCTAAAGTCTCATGAGAAAAGAACTACATGTATTGGCATTTGAGAGTTCCTCCAATGACACACTACAGAGAGGCGAGCACAAAATTCAGACGACGGGAAACAACCCAGCAATCAGGTAGGTTTCTTCCACAGATAAATGCAAGGGGTGGGGCAGACACGGTGGCTTATGCTTCTAATCCCAGCACTTTGGGAGGCCGAGGCAGGAGGATCCCTTAAGCCCAGGAGTTCAAGATCAGCCTGGGCAACATGGCGAGACCACCATCTCTACAAATTTTTTTTAAAAATTAGCCAGGCATGGTGGCATGCACCTGTAGTCCCAGCTACTGAGGAGGCTGAAGTGAGAGGATCACTTGAGCCTGGGAGGTGGAGGTTGCAGTAAGCTGTGATTGTGCCATTGCACCCTAGCCTGGGCATCAGAGCCAGACCCTGTCTCCAAAAATAAACAAACAAAAATAAAAATAAATGCAAGGGGGAAAAGAGAGAAATTAAGTGACACAACCAATTATAATGTATAGACCTTAATGAGGTCCTGATTTAAAATAATGTGAAACATGACATATAAGACAATTGGGAACATTTGAAAACCTGAATATGATGATATTCAGGAATTATTAATTTGGGGATATGATAATGGCCTTATGTCTATGTTTTGAGATAGAATCCTTCTATTTTATAGCAGGGATGGGCAAACCACAAGCAAGGGGCCAAATCCAGCCTGCTGCCTGTTTTTGCTAAAAAAGTTTTATTGGAACACAGCCATGGCCATTCACTTCCATATCATCCAATGGCTGCTTTTGTGCTACAATTGCCACCATGCCCAGTGGGGCCTGTGGCACACAACTGCAGAAGTGAGTAGTTGTGGCAGAAATCACTTAGCCTTCAAAGCCTAAAACACTTACTATCTGACCCTTTCCAGAAAAAGTTTGCTGACCTCTGTTTTAGAGATACAAACTAACATACTTACAGATAAGTGATCTGAATATGAAGCAAATTTTCAACATAATCTGGGTTGATGGGGAACCGTGTTACATATAAACAAATCCAGAGCTAATCATTGCCAGGTGAGGGCTGTGCAGACGATCACGACACTATTCTCTTTTGCATATGTTTTCCATAATAAAAAGTCTTTTGAAAAAATCAATGATTTAGGGGTTTAAATATACTGTAGTCACTTTGGAAAACAGTTTGGCAGTTCCTCAAAAGTTAGACATAGAATTACCCTATGACCCAGCAGTTCCCTTTCTAGATATACCCCCAAGAGAATTAAAAACACACATTCACACAAAAACCTGCACACAAATGTTCACAGGAGCATTGCCTTAATAGCAAAACAAGCGAAACAACCCAAATGCCCATCAGGTGACGGGTGGATAAACACAGTGCGGTCTGTCCATACATGGAATGTGACTCAGCCACAGGCAGGAATGAAGCGCTGACACACGCAGCAACACGGATGAACCGTGAGGTCACGGAGTGGAGTGAAAGATACCAGTCATGAAGTCACACACCGTATGATGCCATTGACATGAAGTGTTCAGAGCAAGTAAATCCTTACAGATGGAAGGCAGAGCGGTGACTGCCAGGGACTAGGAGTGGGGGGCCAGGGGGTGACTGCTAATGGGTATGGGATTTCATTTCGGGGCTGGTGGAAACGTTCCGGAGCCAGAGAGTAGTGATAGCTGCACAACTCTATGTATATGCTATGAATCACCACCGAATGGTATATTTTTAAAGGACGAATTTATGGTATGTAAATTGTGTCTCAATAAAGCTGCTATCTTAAAATTCAGTGCTTTAAACATTCCTCTTGTAACATGAATCGCCAGACTCAAGAATGCCATTCGGAGCTGGGCATGATGGCTCACACCTCGTAATCCCAGCACTTCAGGAGGCCAAGGTGGGTGGATCGTTTGAGCTCAGGAGTTCGAGACCAGCCTGGGCAACATAGTGAAACCCCATCTCTACAAAATATACAAAAACTTAGCTGGGTGTGGTGGCGTGCCTTTAGTCCCAGCTACTCTGGAGGCTGAGGTAGGAGGATCACCTGAGCCTGGGAGGTGGAGGTTGCAGTGAGCCGTGATCGCACCACTGCATTCCAGCCTGGGTGATGGAGCAAGACCCTATCTCAAAAAAAAAAGAAAAAGAAAGAAAGAAAGAAAAAAGAAAAAATGCTATTTGGTAACTTTCCATTTTCACAGATCACGTTTCCTTAAAGCCACGTCTGGCACACCAAACTACACTAACATGTCCTCCTCTGTGGGGAGAGCTCACCTGTGCAGCCGTGGTTATAGATGCTGAAGGTCAGCGTGTCCATGATGTTCCTCAGGCGTTTCATGAGGATGGAATCAGGCAGCGACTTCTTCAGTGACAGCCTGAAGACCTCTAAGAAGGCAATCAGGGAGTACTGGTACATGGAGTTCACCAGGGCCATCTCAGACAGGACGAAGAACAGGATGGCCCCCCTCCTGGCTGCTGGCCGGTAGCCATCCCGCAGCCTGTCGATGTCCAAGGCTGTCTTCTCCGCCAGCTTGAGTTTCTCTGAGACCTGAAGAAAAGCACAGGTGACCCTGGAAACAGGAAGACTGAGATGTGGGCAGAGGGCAGGAGGGGCAGGGGGACAGCAGAGAGGTATGTACAATGCTTCAGGGCTTTGAAAGTATCCAGGGACTGCAGGGGAGCGAGGGCACCCACCCTCTTGTAGGAAGGGGTGAATATTTGTGGCTGACGCCCCTGCACCCATGGCCCCTTCCCCTAGTAACACTGCTTGTAAGTCTCCGGTACTGCCCTCTCCCTTTTCTTCCCATATGGGGTTCCACCCCGACTCCAGGAGATGTGACCCAGGGCCAGCTAACCTGAGCCTAGCATCCCCAAGCTCCCAGGGCTGCTTTGGGGTAGAAACGTGACCTAAGTGACTCTCAGGACCTTCACGGTAGGAACAGGAAGATTCTCACTTACCCCTTTGGGTTTGGACCCGAGAGGACGTGAGGCCAGACCAGTCTTATGACCATGTGGGGAGCTGGCAGAGAATGACGCCAACCCAGTAGAAGGCCCAGCCCAGAAATGGACAGAAACCAGGTCCTCCTGGTATTTTTGAAGTCCTGGATCCAGCCCCACCTGAGGCCATCTCTGAACTTTTCTGCTTTCTCAGCTGATAACTTCCCTTTTGACTTAAGCCAGGCAGGGCTGGATTTTCTATCACTCTCGATTTAAAGAGACTGACCTGATGCCCAAGGGTCCCTGGGAACACCTTTAGGGCTCCCCTCCCCACAGCACATCCCAATAGAGGTGGGTTTTTAGCCCTGAGATCACAGAGCCCCATTTTCTCATTGAGCAGACAGAGAAATGGACGCTCCAACGGCGCATGCAGGCCCCGCCTGACTCACGGCCTCTTCCACTGTGGTTGCTACCTCTGTTGCCTTGGATTTGGTCTCCTCCAGGGTGTGCACCAGGTCCACATTGTCCAGCATGTTCCCCGTGGACGTGGCCAGCTCCCGAAGGAGGGAATCTTCCAGGTCCTTGAGCAGGTTCTTGTTCTCGCTGGTCTCCTGGATGAGGTGCTCCCGCTGCTCCTCCAGCTCCCGCCTCTCGTAAGCCACCAGCACGCTCAGCAGCTGGTCCTCCAGGCCCTTCAGCGTGACTGTGGGGGACAGTGAGAGGCCCTCACCACCTGCGGCCCCCAACAACAGTCTCTCCCGCTGCCCTGCTGTGACGGGACAAGCTTAGCGCGGGTCTCAGCCAGCAGGCCAGAGGCACGAGGATTCACTGCCCACCAAAGTCACTCTAGAGCAGCAAGGTGGCAGGCAGGAGCAAAACAGCGATGCTGTGGTGCAGAGTGGCAGATAAAAAGGAAAAAACACACTGAAATAAAACCCAGGCTTCCACGGACTGGGGTGCCATAGTTTAAAGTATACCCAGACTGGGCGCAGTGGCTCATGCCTGTAATCCCAGCACTTTGGGAGGCAGAGGCAGGAGGATCACTTGAGCCCAGAAGTTTGAGCCCAGACAACACAGACAAACCCCATCTGTACAAAAAAAGAAAAAGAAAAAAGAAAAGAAAGTACATCCAAATCAAATTAGCCTATTTAAGCAGGAGCATGACAGCCCTAGAGAATGTAAGAGATAACATCCCATTTCTATCAGAATTCAACTGAGAGGAAGAAAAAAAAAATTCAACATCACAACATGTATTTTAAATACACGAATATAGAGTAACTTCCTGCCCCCACAGTCAGAGGTCCCATCCCACCCCATGTGTGAACACATAAGCCCACGGCCCCGTCTCAGCGTGACTCATGACAGGTGACTCATGGCCTCACACCTTCTAAGTGGTACCTAATTGGTAAGAGCTGACTAGTCCAGATGTGCCTATGAGAGAATGATCTGGGGTCACTGAGTGAAATGATGTCCCATGAATGCCTTGATCTGAGGTTGCGGTCTCCCTCATAACCATCTGAATTAGCAGTGGAGGTTCTACACATTCTTACCAGTGTAATTGATCACCATAGCTTTCCCAAACACGGATGGGGAATATCTGGGATTGGCCAGCTTGGTGTTCAGGTACAGTCTGAAATTTGAATCATAGTCCACTTCCTTGTCTCCCAGGATAATAAACTGCCGTCCTTGGGAGACTTTTATATTTTTTTCTAAGACGTTGTCAATCACAGGATCGATGTATTCATCAACATCGCGGAACAGGAAAGGGGTCCCGTACTTTATGGACATCTCTAGCTGCTTGAGGAAGTCAGGGTCATTAAAGGAAGCGACCTGGAAGAGAAGGGAGGCAGATGCTGAAAGCCCACGTTTAACTGTGGCCCTGCCAAATATAAGGGGAGAATGGCTTGGAAGTGGGAAGTGGATGGGCCAGGAACTTGGAGGGGGCCAGAGGTGAAAAGAAGAGAGAAGCAAGGGGTATAACGCATATACACCATGAGGTCCAGGCTCAGGGCAGGATCTTGCTCAAACAGGGTAGAGAGGAAAGGAAGGGGATTCCTCAGCCCCTCTCCCGTAAGCTAGAACCCCTCCTCTTTAAGAGAGAGGGTAGATGTTGGAATTGGACTAGGGGTAGGCTGACAATTTCAGTGCTCCCTGGCAGGCTGAGGGAAGAGGGAGTCTAGAAAAGTTCCTGCCCTCATAGTATTTGCTCCCTGATAGCTCCATGTGCATTTTGGAGGCAGACTGTTCCCCTGACCTTGGAGTACAAATGGGCTTCCTCTAACAGCAGGCAAATACCTGAGATCAAGGACCAGAAAAAAATGAGGAAAAGCTAAATTGAAAATAATTAATTTGTTCATTAGCTCAGCAAAAAGTGATTGGGCCGCCCCGGCAATTCCATTCCTAGGTATCGCCCCAAGAGAACTGAAAACACATGGCCACATAGAAACGTGTGCACCAACATTCACAGCGGCATTCTTCAAACAGCCAAAAAGTAGGACAACCCAACTGTCCCTCAGCAAATGGATGGATGAACACAATGTGTCTGTTCATACACCAGAATATCATTCAGCCCGAGGAAGGAATGACGCCCTGATGCACTACAGCAAGGACGGACCTTGAAAACATCAGGCTGAGTGAAAGGCGCCAGACACAAAAGGCCACACAGCGTCTGAGTCCATTCCTAAGAAATGTCCAGAGGAGGCACATTCACAGACGGAAAGCAGATGAGTGGCTGCCAGGGGCTCGGGGAGGGAGAAACGGAAGGACTGGAGGGGTGATGGCTAAAGGATGTAGCATTTCTTCCAGGGATAATAAAAATGTTCTAAGACTGACTCTGGTGATTGGTATACAACTCTGTAAATATACTAAAACTCAAACTGAATTGTATGTTTTCAGTGGGGGAAAGGTGTGGTATGTGAATTACATCTCAATCAAGCCATTACTCTCCCCTCTCCTCCCCTGCATCCCCATCCCCCACCTCAGCTCCAAAAAATAGTGACTGAGCACCCAGACCACGAACCCCGTACTGGACAGAGGAACACGAAGCTAAGGTTGCTCACAGCCTGCGAGGGGAGAGGCAGAGTTCATGGCGGTTTGAGCTGCCCTGGCAGACCCACGGGGTGGAGGCGGAGGCGGAGCCGGGGGAGGGCTCCGCATGGGGGTCAGGATGGAAGCATTTCAGCCCAGCCTCGCTGAGGCTAGGGACTGCCACGTACAGGAGGCGGGAGGGGCATTCTCCAGAGAACAGGAATAGGGGGCAGAAGACGCCCTGGGAGGAGCCACCATACCCGCAGATTGTTCTTCTCCTCTTTTCTCTTGATCCAGTTGAGGGCCTGCTGCTGGGGGTCGATACACAGAGGGAAGCGGCTGGCCCGGGTGGTGAGGATGCCATTCTGAACGGAGAGCTCATCGGGGGGAAGGCCCTGGGATCCCCATCTGGAAGAAACAGCCATTGGGAAATGAATTTTTCTCACCAATTTGTGAGCCAAGGGCTAAGGGTGGTAGGACTGGCCTTCCAGAACAATCTACCCATCCCCAGGCCACACAAGCCTCCTCAGAGGCCAGGGAGAAGGGCTCCGTGCTGGGTTTGCAGCTTGCCCGGCCACTTCCATGCAGTCGAGCCAACTGTGGTCCTGGTGATGCCCCCCAGGCCATTGCCTCCCCCCAGGGTGACACCCACGTAGACCCCCTGTGCTAAGGTGTCCCCTCCCTCCTGCTGGCTCAGGGTGCCACACACCTGCTGATCTCAACATCATCCGTGAGCAGGCTTTCCAGCCGGAAAGGCTGGCTCAGGGGGATCTCCCGCTCCAGGATGTCATTTTGCCAAATCCGATTGACCATCTCGTCACGGAACTCCCAGGTGAAGGCTCCCTCGTAGCTGAGGAAAGCCGCGCAGAGCAGGCAGTCCCCCAGCAGCTTCACGCGCCGGTGCATCAGCTCATCCAGGTCGTTCAGCCACCTGGCACGGGAGGAGAGGGAGGCTGCCGTGAGTTTACCTTCTGGCCACAACCAAAAGGAACATTCCAGAAGAACCAGCTTGATACCTTGCTAACAGGGCTAGCCAGATGGAAACATGTTTTGAGATATTCTTTCCTTGTGAGGAACAGAGACCAACAGCTTATCTTGCAACTTCCCACCCTAGTGAACCTGGTATTTGGAGCCAGCATCAAGCAGGGGGCTCAGTAAAGGCCTGTGGTCTTTATTAAGCAGTAATCACATTGCGTGGATCATATTAAGTAGTAATCACGTTGTTTCTGAAGCCTTAATCAAAGACATATAAATCAGCCCGGCAGAGCTAACAAGTTCTGGCCTCACTCAATGACAGAATTCCACCCAAGATAAAAGAAAGCGTCTGTTTCATTTGTCCTCTTTCAGTAAATGCCCCAAGACTTAGGTTTAAGAAATACTGAAAATTGTTTCCCACACGCAAACAACATTTTTCAGTGTTTTCTACACCACACTTACAGATGCTAGATTCAAAATTGTTGCCCTATTTGGTGAATAAGCTGTGGCCAAGCGGTCTTGCCCATAAATATCAAACAGCCCCATCACTTAAGACTGAAGCCCAGGATTGAACAAGCCACTGGGACCCTTAGAAGGCATCTGTGCGGTGACAGAGATGGGCTTCTCCCACAGACTCTTCTAGAAAAGACCCAGGGGTTAGAGGTCACCAAGAAGTGAACACTTCCCAAACCTAGAGCACCCTGCTAAATGGTATGGATTCCCCCGTCTCCACAGCTGCACTGCCTCCTTGACCCTTAGTAATTAATAAATAACACTCAGTGCCTAATACAAACAAGAGCCTATAAAATAGCCATTAGCTGCCATAAACATGATAATAGGAACATAAGACCTGGTCACATGGTTTTCACATAAAAACACAACGTGAGATAAAGAATCAACATGGCGAGAAACTCTGTGGGTGACGTCCGTTTACAAACCGCAACAGGTGGGCTCGTGAGCAGCGCTAACCTGATGTTTTCTGACCCCAGACCCGAGATGAGTTTGTCTGCGGCAATCAGCCGCCTCTCCATGATCTCGGCTTCTTCCTGCAGCTTCTGCTTTTCCAGTATGGCGGCCTCATATTTGGCACCCAATGTTTCCAGCTCTTTCTGAATTGCTGCCAACTCATTCTGGATCCTTTCCAGTTCCCGTTTAGTGAGGTAAAAATTCCGCTCCAGCCTGGCCACCTAAGTGAAGACAATTTGCAAAAAGATGGGGAAAAGGACCGTGGTGGGGCCGCGATCCCATGGCCTCAAACCAGGCCACATGTCTAAACTGCTCTAATGGTGTCTGTGCTTTTCAGAGCCTCTATATGCTATGTTGAGACACGTGGCTTCTTAGTTTCTTCTTCGACTGTTTGCTGCAAAAACTCCATGTCCCATTAGAAGACACAGCACCCAAGTTATCAAATGGTTTTACTTTCATGTACTGAGGTCTCCGTAAGATGACACTGTGGTTCTAAGTCAAAAACTCAGAAGAATATACCATAGACAGTAACAGTATTTCTATTGGTTCCAAGCTTTCTGAATAATACAATTCCGAGCTATAGCGCAAGGTCACAATATGACTCAAAATGATCAAATTAACCTTATTCTCTTTGTATTTTGTGATCTTCATGTGACTTTGGCCCCGCTGCTCTCAACTGCGGTAGGTTTTGTCCCCCAGGGGACGTTTGGTACTGTCTGGAGACATTTCTGGATGTCACAGCTTGGAGGGAGGGTGCTGCTGGCATCCAGTGGGGTGAGGCTGAAGATGCTGCTAAACATCCTATAGTGCCCAGGACAGACCCCCCCAGGACAGACCCCCCCCCCAGGACAGACCCCCCCCAGGACAGACCCCCCCAGGACAGACCCCTCCCAGGACAAACCCCCCAGGACAGACCCCCCCAGGACAGACCCCCCCAGGACAGAACCCCCAGGACAGACCCCTCCCAGGACAGACCCCCCAGGACAGACCCCCCAGGACAGACCCCCCCAGGACAGACCCCCCCCCAGGACAGACCCCCCCAGGACAGACCCCTCCCAGGACAGACGCCCCCAGGACAGACCCCCCCAGGACAGAATCCCACAGGACAGACCCCCACCAAGGACAGACACCTCCAGGACAGACCCCCCAGGACAGACCTCCCCAGGACAGATCCCCCCAGGACAGACCCCCTGGGACAGACCCCCCCAGGACAGACCCCCCCCAGGACAGATGCCCCCAGGACAGACCCCCCCAGGACAGTCCCCCAAGGACAGATCCCCTGGGACAGACCCCCCCAGGACAGACCCCCCCCAGGACAGACCACCCCCAGGACAGACGCCCCCAGGACAGACCCCCCCAGGACAGTCCCCCCGGGACAGACCCCCCCAGGACAGACCCCCCCAGGACAGACCCCCCCCAGGACAGACCCCCCCAGGACGGATGCCCCCAGGACAGACCCCCCCAGGACAGATCCCCCCAGGACAGTCCCCCCAGGACAGACCCCCCGGGACAGACCCCCCCCAGGACAGATCCCCTGGGACAGACCCCCCAGGACAGTCCCCCCGGGACAGACCCCCCAGGACAGTCCCCCCAGGACAGTCCTTCCCAGGACAGACCCCCCTAGGACAGACTCCCCCAGGACAGACCCCCCCCCCAGGACAGACCCCCCCAGGACAAACCCCCCCAGGACAAACCCCCCAGGACAGGCCCCTAGGACAGACCCCTCCAGGACAGACCACCCCCAGGACAGACTCCCCCAGGACAAACCCCCCAGGACAGATCCCCCCATGACAGACCCCCCCAGGACAGACCCCCCCAGGTCTTATGCTCCCAGGACAGACCCCCCAAGACAGAACCCCCAGGACTGACCCCCCCAGGACAGACCCCCTTCCAGGACAGACCCCCCCAGGACAGACCCCTCCCAGGACAGACGCCCCCAGGACAGACCCCCCCCAGGACAAACCCCCCAGGACAGACCCCCCCAGGACAGACTCCCCCAGGACAGACCCCCCCCAGGACAGACCCCCCAGGACAGACCCCCCCCAGGACAGACCCCCCAGGACAGACCCCCCCCAGGACAGACCCCCCAGGACAGATCCCCCAGGACAGACCCCCCACCACCACCAGGCCACATTCAGCTGCAGCTGAGAAACTCTGCTTTGACCCTAGAGAAACAACTTTAAACATCTTTACGTCATTTTTTTTTTTTTGAGACAGGGTCTCACTCTGTCACCTAGGCTGGAGTGCAGTGGTACAATCACAGCTCACTGCAGCCTCCCAAGTAGCTGGCAGTACAGGTGTGTGCCACCATGCTCGGCTAATTAAAAAACTTTTTTTTTGTAGAGACAGGGTCTCACTATGTTGCCCAAGCTGGTTTCAAACTCCTGGGCTCAAGTGATCCTCCCATCTGGGCCTTCCAAAGTGCTGGATTACAGGCATGAGCTACCACGCCTGGTCTGAACATCTTTATACTACACTTTCACAGGAAGTTTGAAACTCTTTCAGACCTCGGTCTTGTCCACCACCCACACTATGCCTAAGTGATAGTGGTGTTTCAGGATTGCCATTTATTGGGTGGTGGAGGGAAAGTTTATGCAGCTTGAAGTCAGAACCTCGGGAGAAGTTTTTCAGCAAAGGTATGTACATGTGAATTCTGACTCTGAATGGGTCCCTTGGCAGTGGTGTGGCAGTCTTACATTCGGGCAATACCTTCTCTCTTTTGGGCTTGATTTCTCTGAAAACATCACAGTAGCCCATTACAGCTTCAACAAATTTCAGCATCCCCAGCCCGGCTTTGCTGACAGCTTCCATTTCTTCAGTTGTGGTATTAAGAGTCTTCAAGAGGCCTAACGTGAAACATGCAATAATTTTTATGAGTGGCAAGCTTCATCTTGGGAGCATAAAATAGACAAAATAAGCATAACTAGTTTCTTATTCTTCAGTGGCCCTGTGAGCAGAATGCACAAAGCTCTCCTACGGCCAACAGCGTGGTGTCAAACCAAGATGGGTTCTGCATAAACGGATGTTTCAGATGTGGGCAAGGGACATGGTTTACTGCCACCCAGGACGCAGGTGTCACACAGGAGACCCAGGGCGTAACGGAGACTCCCAACTGGGCACCCAGGTGGCTAACTGGAATTCACAGGCCACTACAGGTCACCTGTTACCTTCACCCGCACCCTCACCCCAGGAGTAATTTCACATAAACGGAAGTCCATCCAATGAAGATTCAGACAGAGGGAGTGCCTTGGGTTTTTGTAGTGGTTGGGGTCATTTGTGTTGAGATTGCTTTTGTTTTTAAGGGGCTAAGAAAAAGCATTTGATAAGAGTCTAAATAAACCATCAAACACAGCGTTAACTTGTATTGCTTTTCGCAAAGACTAACACCATTACACTATCACCGCCTGGCTGAGCACTGGGCAGGGTCAGGAACTGAGCTCAAGGGGAACTCAGTCCTATAACCAAAGATGGAGGAGAGGCTGGCCATCAGTGATGCTGCCCACCCCCATGCCCACTCCCCAGGGACCTCCAGAAGACTTGACACTGACAAGAGGAGAAAGGGGGGAAGTCAAGGTCAGACTAGCTCTGGGCTTCTGCATGTGCACTGAACAGCACTGGGTGAGATGCACAGAAGACAAGGCTGGGCTAGGTTCCAATGAGAAGATCCTGTTTCCTGACACGGAGAGCTAGGACTAGTGCCGAATCGAACCCTCAGTGGGCACGGCTGCCGCCGCGCATCCCCAGCCACTCTCCCTGGGTCACGTCATGGGGCTGCTGTTTTCCTCTGGTGACCATCAGTTGCCTGTTCCATCCGATACCATCTGACCAGAAGGGGAGGGCCTGCCCACGACAAGCCTCCTTGCCCTCCATCCCTGTCCCAGAGCCTGAGATGCCAGACCGAGATCCACCCTGGCGATTCCCACACGTGGCTACACTCACCTTTGATGTTTTTCACTTGGCTCTGGGTAATCGAATCAAAATCAATCTCCATCAGAGACCGCAGGAAATTCGGGTCGGACATCACGCCCTTGGCTGTTTTCCAGTTCAGCTCTTTGTACCCTTTCATGATGAGGATGCATTCGCAGACCGTCTGCACCTGCTTCGGGGGCTTAGCAAACGACCTGGCAAGAAACCAAGGCACGTGGGTCACAACCCCGGGATGTGGCCAGGATCTGGCCTGAAAGAGAGCTCCAGAAAAACGAGCTCAACCAAAAGACAGTCCCTGGAGCTACTGCTGCAAGCAAACGAAAGAAGCCAGGTCCCAACACAAACCGCACTCCTGGGCGGGAGCGTCCCTAAGGGCAGGGCCGGGTCCCCCTCTCAGGTTCCAGACCAGGCGCCTGGAATGGTGCGGGGGCAGCATTAAAATACAAACCCAGGCCGTCCCCGGAGCGTCTGGATCAGTGGTTAGGGGGCAGCCTGAGCACCTATGTTTTAATTACACCCTCGGCTGATTCCTCAGACTCTAAATGGTGGCTGCCGTCATTATTGTCATTATCATCATCATCATCACCATCACCATCACCACCAACCATTATCTCTCCCCATTTACTAGATGGACAAACAGGGTCCTGGGAGCTTGCATGACTGGCTGTGCTGACACCGCCTGGGAAGCCTGGGGTCCCCGCATCCTGGGCTCTTTCCAGGCTATGTTGCCCCGTAATTGTGTTCTGTGGCTTTGATAAGACTAGATCATCACTCTGCTCCTCCAGAACGCAGATGTCCACTGCCCTTGTTCCTCTGGAGAACCAGAACTGCCAACGGAACAGGAGACAGAACAGCAGCGCTGGTACAAAGGCCAGAGAAGGAACCGAACCCATCTCACCGGGGCATCCCACTGCCAGGCAAGGTCAGTGAAAGCCACAGGAGTCTCCCAGACCACGCCATGGAAAGACAGAAGTGGAAGAGAACAGCACAGACAAGGCAAAGCAGGAGAGGAAGGAAAAGCAGGAGAGAAGAGCAGGAGACAGAGGTCCCGGAGGGCATGGATGCAGTGTGGGGGCGGCCAGGCAGGGGCCCAGGCATTTGTGCTCTGGTAGGAGGCTGGGGTGAGCCAGAGAAGAAAGAGGGGGATGGAGGGACAGAGGGGGAGACACATGCACAAGAACAGAGACAGGGAGACAGGGAGGAGACAGAGAGACAGGGAGGAGACAGGAAGACAGGGAGGAGACAGGGAGGGGACAGAGAGACAGGGAGGAGACAGAGAGACAGGGAGGAGACAGGGAGACAGGGAGGAGACAGAGAGACAGGGAGGAGACAGAGAGACAGGGAGGAGACAGGGAGACAGGGAGGAGACAGAGAGACAGGGAGGAGACAGCCTGAGCAGACAGCAACCTGGAGGCTTTCTGCAGTGAGCAAATCCCCCACCCCTCCTGACCCCGGAACCCTCACACACTCCCACACAGACAGCAGAGGAGAGAAGGCCCCATAGTGTACGGACAAGCCAGGGCAACAGCCAGGAGGGAGGGCGCCCACACTTCAGCACAAAGCCCAGTGATGAAAGAAAGGCCCTGAGTCCCCGGGAAAAGGCTCGATCACGCTGGTGTTGGCTGCTTAGGAAAGCGGCGGGGCTGTCAAGTGTCTTTAAAAGGTCCCTTCAGGGTGGATGGAAACCAGGCCCCGGCCACCGCTCTGTGAACAAGCAGGTGGGGAAAGAATGGGGGAGATGTTTTCAGATTCAAGACAGAAGGAGCCCAGGCCTGCGGCGGGGTCCTGAGCCCTTGGGCAAGTTAGGAACCAGCCAGGGCGTCAGTTTCCCCATCTGTGAAGTAGAGACGCAGAACTGGAACCTTCCAGTTCCCAAATCCTCTGAGTCTACCAAAGTGACGTTTTCTGCTGTTGGGTTGCAGGCCACGCTCTGGGATCTCACTTATCCAGAACATACCACTTTCCACAATGCCGGATGACCAAGGTGTGTGAAATGTGGAGGGTGCAAGTCAAGAGAAAGGGAGATGTCTGTTTAATTTGATTCCTTTCTTCTATCACAAAACAAACTCAGGAATGAGAAAGGGAGAATGATATGCTACCCTCCCTAGAGGAAAATAATCCTTATAAACCCCACTCCCCACCTCCCAGTACTCTACCCCTGACACACCAGCTGTCTCTGCTTTTTCTCCAGCCGAGCTCCTTGCAATCTCAGAGAAGGTGCCCCCTCCGCCCTCCATGACCATGACTAGGTCAGGTCCCAACATCCACTGTCAGAGCAGCAAGGACCTTTCCTTCCTAACCTAATCCTACATAATTTCCCCATGCACATGGGATTCCTATAGGAAAACAGAGTGTCAGCGCCACGCAGTGAAGACCCTGCCTGCCTCACTGCTGATGGGCCCCAGTGCCTGCTCAGGGCAGGGGTGGGGTGGGGGACAGACACCCACTGACTACTGAATGAATGAAAGGAAGAAAAGTGAAACTCAAGAGCCAGCAACAAAGGGAGGCTTTTATAGTTTTATAGTTAGAGAAACATCTACTTCTAATCTTCATGACTCTTCATCTTCCTGCCTTAACATTTAATGATTTCTACAAAGAGGATTGAGTATGATAAGAAGGAAGCGCTTTTTAAGGACTTAAAAGATTATAAAATTGTCAAGATGTAAGTGCCGGCTCATTGCGCTTAACATCCAAATGACCTGAGAAAAGCCAGATTTTACTCATCTGGAAAAACTCAAATTGGATCCAAACTCACACAGAACCCCAGGAAAAAAATCCTCAATAGATAAAAGATTTAAATATAAAAAATTAAAACATAAGAGTACCAAAAGAAATCATGGGGAAATTATTTTACAATCTTGCAGTGTGATCAGGCCTTTTAACTAGGACACAATATCCAAAAGCCACAAAATAGGTCGGGTGCGGTGGCTCATGCCTGTAATCCCAACACTTTGGGAGGCTGAGGTGGGTGGATCACCTGAGGTCAGGAGTTTGAGACCAGCTTGGCCAACATGGTGAAAGCCCATCTCTACTAAAAATACAAACATTAGCCGGGCATGGTGGTGGGTGTCTATAACCCCAGCTACTTGTGAGGCTGAGGCAGGAGAATCGTTTGAACCTGGAAGGCAGGGGTTGCAGTGAGCCGAGATCGCGCCACTGCACTCCAGCCTAGGTGACAGAATGAGACTCTGTCTCAAAAAATAAATTTAAAAAAAGCCACAAAGGCCGGGCGCAGTGGCTCACTCCTGTAATCCCAGCACTTTGGGAGGCCGAGGCGGGTGGATCACAAGGTCAGGAGATCGAGACCATCCTGGCTAACATGGTGAAACCCCATCTCCACTAAAAATACAAAAAAAAATTAGCCAGGCGTCGTGGCGGGCGTCTGGAGGTACTCAGGAGGCTGGAGCTACTCAGGAGGCTGAGGCAGGAGAATGGCGTGAACCCGGGAGGCGGAGGTTGCAGTGAGCCGAGATCGTGCCACTGCACTCCAGCCTGGGTGACTGAGCAAGACTCTGTCTCAAAAAAAAAAGCCACAAAATAAAATATTGCTAAAACCTGCCACATAAAAATAAACATAGATGGCAAAAACAAACACACACATAAACCTCATAAACAAAGTCAAATAGCCCATGACAAACCAGGAAAAGATTTGCAACTCACCTTATGGATAAAAAGCTGAGCTCCCCATTATATAAAAAGCCCCTGGAAATGGTTTTGAAATAAAAAGCAACAATAACCACGACCCAATAGATACGCAAACCAAGTTCACAGAAAAGGAAATACACATAACTCTTAGACACACTTTTCTCATAGGAAAAAAAAAAAAGGCCAGCTTCACTCACACTAAGAGAAATGCAAATTAAAACTACACAAGTACCACTCATCTACAAAATATGCAAAAATCCCAACATGTGATCGCGCCCCCTGTTGGTAAGTCTAGGAAAAAGCAGGTACTACTCGTTTGGATTGTTGGTGAGGATAAATAGGTTCCATCCCCACGGCGGGGATTAGGCAACAGCTATGAACACTATAAATGCCTACACCCTGGGACCCAGCAATTCCACTTCCAGAAATGTATCCTGCAGGTGGACTCGCCCACGTGCACAATGAACTATGGTCAGATTTATTCTTTGCCACGCTGTTTGTAAAGGCAAAAGACTGGAGACACAATCAATTTATTTAACAAACTCATCAGTAAGGCCTTGTTAAATAAATTACGGCACAGCCACACAATGGAATGTGAAGGAATGTTCTAAAATATCGGGGAAGTTCATCATACATCAACATGCAAAAGCTCTCCAAAATATACTGCTAAGCAGAAAAGATGCAGAAAGATATGCATAGGGTGTTATAATTTGTATATAAAAGAAGGAAAAAAGGATTTGCAGGCATCCCCTGCTCTCCAAACCCTCAGAACCTGAAGTCAGGAAGAGAAGAGACCCTTGTGTACCTGGTTGCCTTGGTCATGCATGAAAATCCTCAGGAAGTGTATATGAGAAATGATATACCCATACTACCTGTTGCAGTGTGGGAAGGTGACCACAGCTGATAGAGGACACAGTGGCCGTGGGCTTTTCCCAGCATACCTTTTGGATGCTGGAGCCATAATCACAGCTAATGCTTACATGGCTCTGACCATGTGCCCAGCCCAGTTCTTCACATATAGGCTCATATGATCCTCATGAAGACCCTGATGCAGCCGAGACAATTCTTATCCACATTTTACAAATGAAGAAACTGGAGCAAAGAGAGGTTAGATGACTTGCTAAACGTCACACAGCAAAGAGGCAGAGCCATGTATGAATGTGTAAAAATTATTCCTTTTGTACTTAGGCTTTCTCAGGGGTGAGCGGGGCACCTGTCTGCAATGCCTGTCTCACTGCAGGGGACACATGCCACGCCCTCTATTTGGCCCCATGGAAGCTCCCCCCCACTCCTCCACCTTGGATTGATGGAAGGGACTCACCGTTCCTTCTCTTCAAATAAATCCCCTTCAAAAATCCTTCCTAGTCTCTGCTTTCACGATGTTTTTATGCTGCTGACCTGGGAGCAGTGGCCCAAATCCTATCACCGGTAGCTAGAAATTTCCCTGGAGGATGTGTGTGCTGACCGTGTCTCCTACCCCTCCGCTGGGTGTGCACTTCCACTGTGTCCTGGTACCTCAGCCTAAACTTCCAACGCCTAGTGCTGAAGTTTTAATACATCGATCCTTATACCCTCCTTGACACCATCCTCAACACTGAACTAATGACTTCTTGCTGACCACAGCAGCACCTCCAAGTGACCTCCCAAGAATGAACCGGGAGGTCATTCTGTCCTGGAGTGAGCTGAATTCCATGCTCAAATTCACAAATGTTTCACCAATAAGAAAACAAGGGCACGGACTTGGACAAGGAGCGCTGCTCAGCCTTCACAGGCAGCACAGAGGCAGAGAAATAGGAAGCACAGGGAACATGCACCGCTCCAGCGGGAGCCCAGAATGGAAGCCCATTACTGACCCAGGAACGGAGCCTCTCGGCTGCGAGACCCGTGTGTGGGGCCAGGAAGACTGATCTCCTTCTGGATGAAGAGTGGGGAAGGAGAGAGCTGAGGCTCCCACGCCGAGGGGTCTGTGCGGGGCCAGGCAGCACAGGGGCAGAGGCAGTGGGCGGAGGCTGGCACCAGGACAGTGTTCCCTCCCAGGGCTTTACTCACAAGACTCAACTGACCATCAGAGCCCAGGAACAGTGCCCTGGGGAGGCCAAGCCATGCGAGGAGAAAGCTTGTTAGCCCACGCCACACCACGTTACCCTCGCTGACAGCAGATGAGCCCTCTGGTGTGGGGGACAGGGTCATCTTACAGATTGATTTGCAAGATGTATGGGGGCCTCAATAGTGACCTACTCTCACCCTCCTTGAAAGCTTCCTTGGCTGGAAATGGATTCAGGCATCGCCAGTCCGGCCGTGGTGTGCACACATCTCTGCAGAGCTGTTTTCAGCAGGGCTCAGCCCCATGGTGAGCATCCTGCCCCTGCTTAGGGCGGACACTTGCCCCCGCATGTTCCGTGAAGAGCACTGTTTTACCCCACTCCATCCTTCCCTTGGCCTGGGTTCAAGGTCAGCAGGCCCTGCTTCCTACTAGCTGGGGGATCTGGATGCCTGGGGCGCCCACCTCATCTCCCTGGGCCTCATTTTCCCCATCCGAAAATGAGGGCAACAACAGTCTCCACCATGGAGAGAGCCAGGCACAGTGGCAGCATGTGGCATCGGCTCCTTTGTAAGCTCCTGGTTGCCACGATCATGGAGACTACTGGCTTGCAGAGGTGGAATGGAAGCCCAGAATGGTGGCTCAGGTGCATTACCTAATCTCAGTCACGTCCGACTTGTCCAGCTTCTGCAGTTCCAGCTTGGCGGCCTCCAGGATGGGCATGACCTCTGCCAGGGTCGTCTCGGCCTCGGCCTTCTCCATGGCAATGACTTTGTTCTGCTCCTCTATCTCCATGGCCTTTTCCTCTGCCAGTTTCTTCTTCTCCTCGGCTGCAGGGTAGGACAGGGGGTGAGTAAAGCTTGGGCTCAGAGGAGATGCACTCGCGGCCCCGGCTCTGAGCAGAGTGCAGTCCTCAAAGGTTGGCTTGAGCCCTAGCGGGGATCTAAGGGGCTCTGGCCAATGTGGCAGCCTCAGTGATCCTGGTGGGACAGAAAACCTCACCATGCGTGGGGCCTCCAGCACTAGGCAGCCACCCTGACTCTGACCTTCCTCAACTGGCCCACCTGTGTCCCACCCACTCCATCCAGGACAAATCCCATGGCTCCTGATAGCCCCCAGCCCTGCCTCGCCGGTGTTCAGTGAGGATGCTGGGGTCCCCCTCCTGCTTACCGGCTCCCTGCGATCTCCTCCTTCTGCCTCTCATCGCCTCTTCCTACGCTCACTCGGGCCCAGCCAGAGCCACCCTCTAAGGAGCCTGCCCCTCTGTCGTCCTCTCTCTCCCTTCCTTGCTGACTTGCTTCATGACACCAATCGCAATCGGAAGTTTCATTTCACCACTGGCTGATTCACTGCCTGGGTGCCCTCACTCACTAGGATGTCAGCACCTCCCCGAGGGCCGGAACCCCAAAACCTAGAGCAGGGCTTGGCTCACAGTGGTTTGAACAGTGTCACCCCACCAAGATTCGTGCCCACTGGGACCTCAGGATGTGACCTTATTTGGAAGTGGGTCTTTGTAGATGGAATTAGTTAAGATTAGGTCATACGGGGTGAGGGTGGGCCCTAAATCCAATGCCTGGGGTCCCTATCAGAAGGCCATGTGCAGACACACAGGGAAGAGGGGCGTGTGGCAATGGAGACAGACGCTGGAGTGGTGCATTTATAAGCTAAGCTAAGGAATACCAAGGGCTGCCAACAACCCCAAGAAGCTGGAAGAGGCTTCCCCTAGAGCTTTCAGAGGGAGCATGGTCCTGGCACCTTGATGTCAGACTTTGGCCTCCAGAACTGTGAGAGAATAAATTTCTGTTGTTGGCCAGGCATGGTGGCTCACACCTGTAATCCCAGCACTTTGGGAGGCCGAGGCAGGTAGATCACCTAAGGTTGGGAGTTCGGGATCAGCCTGGCCAACATGGCGAAACCCCGTCTCTACTAAAAATACAAAAATTAGCTAGGCGTGGTGACGGGCACCTGTAATCCCAGCTACTCAGGAGGCTGAGGCAGGAGAATCGCTTAAACCCAGGAGGCAGAGGTTGCAGTGAGCCGAGATCGCGCCACTGCACTCCAGCCTAGGTGACAGAGCGAGACTCTGTCTCAAAAAAATAAATTAATTAATTAATTTAAAAAAATAAATGTCTGTTGTTTTCAGCCCCCAGATCATGGTGCTTTGTTAGAGCAGCCCCGGGAGATGAATGCAGCAGGCCTTCTACAAACAGATGCTGGCTGCAGAGGCTCTGCCTCCCCCATGATAAGGTCTCTCGGAACCCATCTCCACAGCTAACAAGCCAGCACTGGCACTTGCAGCGTGCAAAGCCGTGCACGGGCCTTGACACTGTAAAGGGTCCCCAGCCCAGGCACTACTTGTCCCTGGGGCAGCAGGGGGATGAATGCATCAGAAAAGGGTAGCAAGATCACGAGTGTGGAACCTTCGGAACAGAAAAGCAGAAAGGAAGCTGTCTAAGCTGTGAGCGTGCTGAGGCGCGGGGGTGGGGGGTGGTGCCAGCAGGAACGGAGTGCAGAGGTAACAGGACACCACCAGAGCTGGCTGGGAAGGAAGAGGGCTGGTACAGGCCTCAGGAACCTCAGTGTGGGGAGCAGCCTGCAAAGGGGGCTGGCGAAGCCAGGTGCTTGAGTCATGCTGAGGAGCAAAATTGTGGGCTCTTTCAGCCAGGCAGAAGCATGGGCTGGAGGCTGGGGCAGGTGCTGAAGAGCCACCCTCAGGAGAGAGGATTGTTTGCACTCCACCCTACCCTCTGTGGGACGTGTCAATGTATCCCATTCCTATGGCCACCAGGATTGGTTTCGGCATGGGCATGTGACCCAAATCTGTCCAATCACAGCCAACTCTGGGAGCTTTGAGGGAATGTATGGGAAAGAAGAGCCCTCTCTCCCCTGGGGATGCTGAGCTAATAGGATGCCAACCTCATGCTGGAGGCTCCCAAAGTCTCAGCATGGACAGAGCCGGCTGCCTGAGATGAAGCCCAAACGGAAGACAGCAGAGCCAAGAAAGGGAAGGAAAGATTCCCACTGATACATTTGAATCCTAGATCCAGCTGTGCCTGAAGCCAGCATGCCTCTGGAATCAATGCGTTTCCACTTTGGATTAAGCCACTTTGAGCTCAGTTTCTACCATTTGCAACCCTGGAAACAGAGTTCCTAGATGAAGCTTCCTCCAAAATTCCAAGTGGGAGCAAGGTGACCCTGGACAAGGATGATGGCAATGGGGAAAGAAAAACAAGCACAGGTAGGAGAGGCACTAAACACAGGTGTGGCAAATAGGCGGTCCTCAGTACAAACTGTGGCCTGGGCACCGGGGGAGGGGCTCTCTTGGTTGTGAGCTTCTTCGAGGCAGGGGTTGAGTCTCATTCGGTTTCTAGCCCCCACTCTCCCTACCACGGTGGCTGCCATGAAGCTGAAGTCAGTATCTGCTGACTGGACAGATGAATACGTGGAATACCAGCATCCTTCAAGACACTTCCAGTCTAGTTTTACATCTAGGGGGCCAGGAATATATAGTTTTTTACATTTAGGGGGCCAGAAATATATAGTTTTTAAAAGACAGATCAAAGCAAAGTGCAGCTATGTGGGAATGAGGCATTTGATCAAAGTTCTGGAAGGAGAAACATGGACAGGAAGAAAGAAGTGGTACGGATATTCTTAGCAGACCAAAGGGAGAGAAAGAGCAAGTTACTGCAGGACTCACACAGGCATGAAGAAGTGATGCTGTGAGCAGGCGACAGGGTGTCATGAGAAATTAGGTAGGCAAGATGACATAGAGGGATTGATGGGACCCTTCACGGCCACAGTGAGGACTCAGCATCAAAACAGGCAGCAGGGATATGCCACAAATTCCTGGGAAAGGATATCTATCGATTAAGTTGCTTTGGTTGCAAGCAACAGAAGCTAATGATGGTCGAGTTAAGAAAAACGTGAAATTGTTTTAAGAAGATATGGTAGCTCACAGACATGGAAGATGCTGAAACACATAAACTAGAGGCGCCTCAGGGATCTGGGCTCGGGCACTGAATGCAGTCTCTTCACGGCGCTGCTGTGCAATGAATGAACACAAATAATCTTCAGTCTTTATATTGGCTGATTCAAAATGTGCAGTCCCAGAGAACATCTAATTGGTCTGTCAGGGTTAGAATAAGCCCATCCTGATGGCAGGCACTGGGAGTCGGGGAGAGGCAGTTTGCCAACACCAAGTTAAGGTGCTGTTGCCAGAGTGATGACAAATGGATCCTGTGCACAGGGCCGGGTGCAATGACAAAGGAACTGAACCGAGATGACACTTAGCAGCAACACGAACACGGACCAGCAGGAGAAGGAAGAGGCAGGCAGGTTGAGCGGCATCTGCAGGAATCTGGGAACAAGCTGGGGAGGGTACACATCAGAAGCCACTGGCCCAAAGACCTAGAGAGGAGGCTTAGAGGCCAGGCACAGAGCTGTGGGCTGCAGGAGCCGTCCTGTGCCAGGCATCGCGAGAGGGTAGAGTCGTCAAGAGCAGGACAGTGCAGGTGACACAGAGGCTCGGCCAAGAAGACCGAGGGAAGGGGCCCAAGAAAGAACCTTGAAACAGCTTCAAGAACCAAGAAAGTCCCGCGTCGATGGTGCCAAGGCTTAGGTCATTTCAACCCCACGGACTTAGTTCACCAGCCCATAGAGGGTCGAGTGACTTTTCCACTCCCCTGAACATCCTCAGGCTACCAGCGCAGGGGCCTACATATGGTAGCTTCTCAGTGCTTATGAAAGGGGACAAGACTGGCTGGACACGAATTCAGAAAGAAAACAGGAATTGCAGGGTCAAAGATGGCACGCTCAGTGCCTACAAGCAGTTTCACAGGGACGGCCTGGCAGAGCCCTGTCCTGCTCGGGATGGGCTGCCCTGGCCCCGCCCTCACTCACCTACGGTGGGTATTGGGTGTTGGGGATGGGCTGCCCTGGCCCCGCCCTCACTCACCTACAGCGGTGTTGACGGCGATCTCCTCCAGCAAGGCCTCGCAGGCGGCGGACTTCTCCGCCAGCACGATCTTCTGCTCGGCCAGCTTCTGGTTCAGCTCGTCCAGCTGGATGGTGGCCTCCTTCAGCTTGTCCAGTCCCCCATCCAGACGCTTGCACTGAGCTGAGGAAAGAGGGCACCTATGTTCATCGTCGAGGTGGCCACTGTTCGCAACACAATCACTGAGATTTGCCTAACTTCAGCTTATCAAAAACAAAACAAAACATTTTTACAAGATGGCACATGTCTTTCAGTACCTCCACTGCCATACTTGGGACAGCATCAGCCAAAATGAATGTATTTCTGAAGACAGTGCTTCCCTTGGCCAACAGCCAGAGCACTTTTTAAAAAGCCCTGTCCGGCAGTGCATGCTGCTGCAGCAGATAGTTGTCTCTAATGTGCGCCAGGCATGGTGGCTGCACCTGTGGTCCCAGCTACTCAGGAGGCTGAGGCGGGAGGAGCACGTGAACCCAGGAGGTCGAGGCTGCAGTGAGCCATGGTTGCACCACTGCACTCCAGCCTGGGAAACAGAGACCCTATCCCTAAGATAAAAAATAAAATTTAAAAATTGCTAATGTGATCAAAATGTAAAGCTTCAAAGTCTAAGACTCAACACTGAGAACAAAAATAAGGACATGCCAGGGTCCTGCCCACATGAAAGAATCGCTCCAAGACACAAAATCCAAGATGTGCTTCGTTTGGCCTCAATACTGAAGATGCCCCATCTTACTAAAGAAAAGATCAGCGCTCGAATCCTTACCCATAAATAATAATGACTTTTGTCAACCACCCCATCCCCAAGGCTTACCTATATTACACTGAGTTTTCTCATCCAGCAATTTTGAATAGGTGTTAATAAAATCAAGGTAGTTCTTGGGAGTGACATAGTTGCTGCGCCTCAATTTCTGTAGAAACTGTTGGCTGTAGTGGTCCACGGATTGGTGAACCAAGACAACATGCTTCACCACATTTTCTATATTTTCTGCCGGGATCATTGGATTATACCCTGAAGAGGAAGGAATAAAAAATGTTTTCTTTCTTTTTCTTTTTCGACACAGGGTCTCACTCTGTTGCCCAGGCTGGAGTGCAGTGGCGTGATCATGGCTCACTGCAGCCTCCATCTCCTGGGCACAGGTGATCCTCCCACCTCAGCCTCCCAAGTAGCTGGGACTACAGGATGGGCCACCATGCCTGGGTAATTTTTTGTATTATTTTGTAGAGGTGAGGTTTCACCCATGTTGCCCAGGCTGGTCTTAACTCCTGAGCTAAGGCAATCGGTCCACCTCAGCCCCACAAAGTGCTGGGATTACAGGCGTGACTCACCGCACCCAGCCATGCTTGTTAAGAAAGGAAAACAGGGATTCTTCAAAGAGTTAAATATAGAACTATTATATGACTCAACAATTCCACTCCTAGGTATATACCCCAAAGAACTGAAAAGCAGGGACTCAAATGAATTCTTGTATGCCAATGTTTACTGTAGACTATCACAATAAGCAAAAGGTGGAAAGACCCAAGCGTCCAGCAACGGAGGAATGGATGAACAAAATGTGTCCTATCTATACCGGGGATAGTATTCACTTGTAAAAAGGAATGAAGTTCCGATGCTGAAACACGGATGAGCCTCAAAAACATGATGCTAAGTGAAAGACGCCAGACACCAAAGGACAAACATTGCATGATTCCACTTATACGAACCCTCTCTAGAACAGGCAAATTCATACAGACAGAACACAGATTCGAGGTTGCCAGGGGCTGGAGGGAGGGGCGATGGGGAGTTCGTGTTTAACGGGTATGGAGTTTCAGTTTGGGATGATGAAAAGTTTTGGCAACAGACAGTGGTGTTGGTTTCACAACATTACGAATGTGATTAGTGCCACATGTACATTTCAAAATGCTTAAAATGGAAAATGTTATGTTACATATATTTTACTACAATAAAAAAATGATGTTAAAGTTTTTAATAGGACAAGAAAAGAATGGCTATCACTTATTGGTGGCTTTTCAGGGCCACAGCAGTGATCCGTGCTAATCCTTCTTTTTTTTTTTTTTTTTTCTTGAGACAGGGTCTCACTCTGTTACCTAATTCCTTCCCTACTGTTAGGAAGCCCTGTCTTCCCTAAAGGCCAAGACACCGTGGCAGAAGGGCCTTGGGTTTTCAGAAGCGATCACCACGTCTAACTCTGCCCTGTTGCTCCCCTCGCCCGCCCGAGGACTGGGTGGGCTTATTCGGTTACCCACCGCTGGATGACACCCAGCACATATCGGCAAAGGTGGGCCTTCCTATACACCCGCTGAAAGAATGAATGATGGCTTCCAGTGTCAAGATCACATCACCTGGATTATCTGATAGGTTGTTAAATGCATTCAGCTCAAAGCAGAGAATGTCTCATATTAAAATGGAGGAAGGAAAGACAGATTGAAAGTACCGATTAATCCAGATTCTGCAGAGCTGGTCCTGAGTTACTCCGGGGTTAGCAAAACACAGCCCCAGGGCCCATTTTACAGTGTGCAGGAAAAACGGTGCCTCACAAATATCTGTGCCTTTGGGCATAGTCATCTCAATTCCAGGGAATATATTCTCTCTCTCTCTCTCTCTCTCTCTCTCTCTCTCTCTCTCTCTCTCTGTGTGTGTGTGTGTGTGTGTGTGTGTGTGTGTGTGTGAGATAAAGTCTCACTGTGCCTCCCAGGATGGAGAGCAGTGGCACAAACTCGGCTCACTGCAACCTCTGCCTCCTGGGCTCAAGCAATTCTCATGGCTCAGCCTCCTGAGTAGCTGGGATTACAGGTGCCCACCACCACACCCAGCTAATTTTTGTATTTTTAGTAAATACAGGGTTTCACCATTTTGCCCAGGCTGGTCTCGAACTCCTGGGCTCAAGTGATCCACCCGCCTCAGCCTCCCAAAGTGCTGGGATTACAGGTGTGAGCCACTGCGCCTGGCCTCCAGGGAGTATATTCTAAGGACAAAAAAGTTCTAAGCAAATTCTAGGCAGCATTATTTATGATGCTGAATCACTGAATACTGAAAGCAAACACAAGCACTTCACACATGGAAACGGCAAATACGCCTCTGAGAACAAGGGGACATCTATATTGGGGCTGGCCAACTACGGGCCAAAGGACAAATCCAGCCCGCCCCCTGTTTTTGTAAATAAAGTGTTATTGGATCACAGCCATAGCGATTCATTTACGTATTGTCTATGACTGCTTTCATGATAAAATGGCAGAATTGAGTAGTTGCGAAAAAGCTGTAAATATTTACCATCTGGACCTGAGATATATCATCAGAAAAGAGTCATTCTCTTGGCCCCTTTTCCCCCAAAACTGCATTATGATTAAAGTTATGATTTCTTCTTACATATAGGAACATTTATTTATTTATTATTGAGTACAGATTTAGAAGGTTGAAACTATTTTCAAGGTTACCCAGTGTCATTCATCATAAATCTGCTCAAGTTAGGTCAAAAGAAAAAGATGTTCCCTGAAGACAGACTTCCTTTCTTATTCAAACATTAAAATTAATATCCAAGGCCTTAGGTGTTTGAAACGCTAGAAATTCAATGAGAATGCAGAATGTTTGCTGAATTGTCCTTGGAGCATTCTTTGGATAGAGGCCAGCACATGTTTTCTACAAAGAGCCGAACAGTACTCATACGGTCTCTGTTGCAATTATTCAGCTTTGCGGTTGTAGCATAAAAGCAGCCAGAGACAATATGTTAATTAATGAGTGAGTCTGTGTACCAATAAAACTTTATTTACTAAAACAAGTAAGGGGCCAACTAGACAGCAGACCATGGTTTTGCCAACTGCTGCTGTGGAGAACACCTAATCAATTTTTATCCTAAATTGTCCTTGCTAAGTCTCCTGAAATGTCTTTGGACTAAAACACCAAATATAAACCAAAAACATACTAACAAAATTGAAAGCCATTTGTTACCATAGGGTTTTCCAGTGAAGAAATCTACAAGACCAGAATTCAAAGTCAGAAAAGGGAAAATAAATTGCTTTGTTTTATCAATAATGCAGTTCCCATAACAGCTGTGACTTACCTAGAAAGGACTTTGCGACCGCATGGAGGGCTTGGGGAGGCCAGGGCATGAACCAGTCAATACCAGTGTTATTTACCATACCTTGAAAGGAAAGAGAGATTAAAAAGATGCTCCCAGCCTGGGCAATGTGGCGAGACCCTGTCTCTACAAAAAATACAAAAATCAGGGCCGGGTGTGGTGGCTCACACCTGTAATCCCAGCACTTTGGGAGGCCAAGGCGGGTGGATCATTTGAGGTCAGGAGTTCAAGACCAGCCTGGACAACATGGCAAAACTCCATCTCTACTAAAAATACAAAAATTAGCCGGGCAGTAGTGGTGCACACCTGTAATCCCAGCTACTCAGGAGGCTGAGGTGAGAGAATCGCTTGAACCCGAGAGGTGGAGGTTGTGGTGAGCCAAGATCACACCACTGCACTCCAGTCTGGGCAACAGAGTGAGACCCTGTCTCAAAGAAAAAAAAAATCAGCCAGGCAGCGTGGTGGTGTGCGCCTATAGTCCCAGCCACTAGGGAGGCTGAGGTGAGAGGCTCATTTGAGCCCAGGAGGTCGAGGCTGCAGTGACCTATGATGGTGCCACTGCACTCTAATCTGGGCGACAGAGCGAGATTCTGTCTCAAAAAAAAAAAAAAAAAAAAAAAAAAGGATGCTCATTCTGCAACCCTGAGACACTCAAGAACATGGATGCCATCTTCAATAGCCAACAAGTTGGTGAATGAGCCAGATGTGTCCAAATCTAGTTCATCAAAAGCAGAGTTTCTCACCCTTGGCGCTATTGACATCTGGGCTCTAATCCTTTGTGGCAGCAGCTGGCTGTGCACTGTAGGATGCTTCACAGCATCCCTGGCTTCTACCCACTAGATGCCAGTACTACACTGCATGCTCCCCGGGGCTGTGATGACCAAAAATGTCTCCAGGCATTGCCAAGAGTCCCCTAGAACACAACCTCCCCCGCCCCTGCCCCGCCCATTAGGAACCTCTGCTCTAAAGGCTGGCATGAGGCTGGTGGAATTTTCCCAAATGGAAGGAAGCGGGGAGCCACCGTCCATGCACTGCGGGCCTCGCATGGAGGAGCATGGGTACATCCTCCTGTCAGAGGGACATCACTCACGCCCACTGGCACCTAGAAGGGGCAGTGAGCCCCAAGCTACAGTGCAGAGCCCACATTTCCACCTAATGGCCGTGTCTTGTTTTGCTTTGCTGGGGGAACCTGGAGAGGTGTGGACAGACCCTCAGCCACACACTCTGCCAAAGCAGGGGAAATGGGTTCACAGGCTCCACCGCGGGTACCTGGGAAGTTTCTGCACCAGGTCCTCAGGGTGTCCCCCACTGGCGACATGCCCAGGACAATGTGCAGGTTATTTGCACTTTTGTTCACGAAGTACTGCCACACAGACTCCTTGGCCGGCCCCATGCCTTGCTTCAGAGCTTCCTGTCCAATCTGACTCAGGATAGACTCTTTCTCCTCTTCAGAAAAAAGCGCAGGTACAATTCCTGGAAAAGGAAGACATGCTGGTGATCTCTCTGAGTCCCAGGGTCATGACCGCTCTAAGTGCTGACTGAGTGATGGAAGGTGTGGAAAGATCAGCAGGTGCTGAGTCCAGAGAGCAGCGTGTGGGCCTGACCTGAGACCCGAGGCTCCCTGCCACCTCGTGGCAAGCCCTTAGAGCCTCCAGCTCCTGTCTGTCAAACGGGGATCCTAGATGCCGCCAGCTCGCCTGGGAGGATGACCGTGAGCATCACAGGGAGCATGCAGAGCATGAGGAGGCCTCACTTGCCTGTAACTCCGAAGCAGGGATTCTCAGCTGGGATTTGCCCCCAGGAAACACTGGGCCATGTCTGGAGATATTTCTGCTTGTTGCAAGGGAGGTTGCTACTGGCATCTAATAGGTCAAGGCCAGGGATGCTGCTGAACCTCCCACAGTGCCCAGGAGAGCCCCACCACAACAAAGAACAGCCCAGCCCCAAATGTCAACGGCACGCAGTCGAGAAACCCTGGCTACGTGGACTTCTTTTTTCCTATATCTACGCCGTTTCAAATTATGCAATACATTTTATGCCATCTCTGACGTTCTCCTGTGCAGGGAAGAGTTAACGTGGCAGGCCACGGCTGCTCACCTCTGAAAGGCACCTGGGAACTTAGTTTCCTTAAGAGCTTCCTCCCCGATTCACTGATAAGAGTGGCCCAATATGGGATGTGGTTTGGATCTGCGTCCGCACCAAATCTCAGGTTGAATTGTGATCCCCAGTGTTACAGGTGGGGCCCGGTGGGAGGTGACTGGATGATGGGGGCAGATCTCTCATGGATGGTTTAGCACCATCCTCTTAGTGCTGTTCTTGTGAGCGCGAGTGAGTTCTCGTGAGATCTGGTTGTTTGAAAGTGTGTGGCCCCTCCCCCAACCTTGCTCCCACTCTGGCCATGGGACGCGCCTGCTCCCCCTTCACCTTCTGCCATGACTGTAAGTTTCCTGAGGCCTCCCCAGAAATCAGCACCATGCTTCCTGTACAGCTTGCGGCACTGTGAGCCACATGAACCTCTTTTCTTTATAAAAAACCAGTCTAAGGTATTTCTTTATAGCAATGCAAGAACAGCCTAACATTGTGCCCACACTGCTTGGGTATGCAACGTATTCTATGCTGACTACCCGCTCTCCCTCCGGGCATCCGGGATTTTGGCACATGCCAGGTAGAGGTGCCTACATGAGCAGCCCCAAGGAAATCCCGGAGCACTGAGTCTCCAACTAGCTCCCCTGGTGGGCAGTACTTCACACGAGTTGCCACAACTCAATGTTGGGGGATTAAGCATGTCCTGTGTGGCTCCCCGGAGAGAGGACTCTGAGACTTGAGACTGGTCTTCCCTAGGGTCCCCCATGCACTTTTTCCCTCTGCTGATGTTGCTCTGTGTCCTTTTGCTGTAATGACTCACAGCCATGAGCAGGACCACATGCTGAGTCCTGCGAGTCCTCCTAGCAAGTCACGGAGCCGGGGATGGTCTTGGGGATATTCAACAAGGGAGAGGGATCCCTCCCTTGGCAGGGAGCCCAAGACTCCCAAAAGACAAAGAGGAACTTGCTCCCTGTGCTCTGCCTGCCCTCTCAGTCTCTTCCTCCCGGGGCTCTGCCTGCCCTCTCAGTCTCTCGCTCCCCGTGCTCCGCCTGCCCTCTCAGTCTCTGCTCGTTCCTCTTCCACCTGAACTCAGTGCTGGGCTCTCCCTGGATGGTTCACTCGGGTCCCACCACATGTCAGTGACTCTGAAATTGACGTCCCCACCCTAGGCTCCTATTCTGAGAACCAGACTCATGTACACACTGCCTATGTATTACGGTTGAAGTTGCATGTCGCCCTGAAAAAGATATACTGAAGTCCCCAAAGTAGCTCAGATTGTGACTTTATTTGGAAATTGTCTTTACAGAGATAATCAAGTTGAAATGAGGTCATTGAGATGGGCCCTAATGCAATATGACAGGTACCCTTATAAAGGAGGGAAATTTGGACACAGAGACAGACAGCACACAAGGGGAAGGCCACGTGACAACGAAGACAGGGACTGGAGTTCTGTGCCTACAAGCCAAGGAACACCAAAGACTGTCAGCAGCCACCAGCAACACAGATTCCCCCACCCAGAGCTCAGAAGGAACGGGCTCTGCCGACACCGTGATCTTGGGCTCCTGGCCTCCAGAACTGTGAGAGTAGATTTCTATTGTTTTAAGCCACCCAGTTTGTGGCATTTTGTGACGGCAGCCCCAGCAAACTAATACACTATATGACATCACATTCAGATTCTCATCTAGTGCAGCAAACTCAACACGCTCCTAATGCCACAAGCCCAGAACTGGTCTTCCTCATCTCAGCAAATGGAAGCACTGATCACTCGCTCCACCAGAAAC
The DNA here is from genome assembly GCF_000001405.40 of Homo sapiens. Lineage (NCBI taxonomy): Eukaryota > Metazoa > Chordata > Mammalia > Primates > Hominidae > Homo > Homo sapiens. The sequence goes on along the minus strand of NT_187590.1, from coordinate 64,331 downwards.
CTGGGAGTCACCCTTGATACCCCTCCCCCAACCCACAGCCAAATCGATCGAAGTCCCGTTGGCTCTGCCTCCTGAATACCTCGTGAATCCACCCACTTCTCTCTGTCCCCAGTGCCCTACCCTCCTCCAATCGCTGTCACTTCCTGCCTACACTGCAGGGGTAGCTCCAAACTGGATGCCCCTCTCCCACTCCTGTTCCCCTCTAATCTCGTCCCCACGGCGCACTGGAGGGATCTTTTAGAAACATAAATCTTGGCTGGGTGCAGTGGCTCACGCCTGTAATCTCAACACCTTGGGAAGGTGAGGCAGGAAAAACACTAGAGCCCAGGAGTTCAAGACCAGCCTGGGCAATGCAGGAAGACTCCACCTCTTAAAAAAAAAAGTGTGTTTTTTTTTTTTTAATCAGCTGGTTGTGGTGAGATGCATCTGTAGTCCCAGCTACTCGAAAGGCTGGGACAGGAAGATTGTGTAAGCCCAGGAGTTGGAAGCTACAATGAGCTATGATCATGCCGCTGCATTCTGGCCTGGGCAACAGAGTAAGACCCTGTCTCTGAAATAATTAATTAATTAAATCTAAAAAATTAAAAAACCCATAAATCTGGACTACGTCATTGCACTGAGAATAAAATCTTATCTCCTATAAATGACCTACAAGGTTCCACGCCATAGAACCCCTCCACCTCGTCCTGATCCCTGCACAACAGCCCTCTAAAGGTGTCCATGGCATCCTAAGCCCAGGAACCGGCCAATGGGTTTCTTTATGTTTCCTGCAAAAAGGACTCTGTGGATGTGACGCAGCCAAGGATGGTGGGATGGAGCGCGTGCTCTCAATTACCCAGGTGGGCTGGAGACGATCACAGGGGTCCCCACAAGAGAGAAGCAGCTGAGTTTGCATCAGGATGACAGAAGTAGAGACTGGAAGGATGAGAGCCAGCGAGCTAAAGAGCCAAGAAACGGGTGGCCTGAAGCAGTTGGAAGAGACAGGGAAACAGAGTGTCCCCAGGAAGCTCTGGAAGGAACCAGCCCCACCAACACCCTGATCTTAACCCCTTAAGACCCTTTTCTGATTTCTGACCTCCAGGCGCATAGGGGAATAAATCCGTGCTGTTTGGGGAAATTTGCTACAGCAGCCATAGGGAGTGTGATCACACAGCATCTCTCAGGCCTCAGCTGAAAAGTCTCTACAGTGACGCCTTCCCTGTCTGCCCTGAGATGCTCCTGCCCACACTCTCTCTCACAGCAACTCCCCTTTGCACTCACGGCACTTACCACAATCTGCAATTGCTGTATCTCTTTGTGTAGTTGTTGTTGTCGTTAACCAGTCCACTCACACGCTGAAATGTATGCTCCAAGGAGGGCAGAGGTCATGACCATCTTATTCCCTACCAAACCCAGTGTCTGGAATAAACACTGTGGAATAAATCCAGGTGGATGACCCGATCCCCCCTCTCAAGGAGCCGACAACCCACTGAAACAGACGCAACTTAAAACGCAATGATCAAAATGCAGCAAATATACACTTAAAATGTTGTGCGTTTCCCTGTATGTAAATTTTACATCAAAAGAAAACACTAAACAAAACTTGAACTCTAGATAGTGGCACGCAGAAGCATTTAGCGGGGAGAGCAGTGATGTTGCAATTGACTCTGAAACGCATCTAAAAACGAGAAGGGCGGAAGCAGGGAGGGAGGGAAAGCTGTTTACACGCATGGCAGAGCAAGTGCAGCAAGGCGAGAAAGGAGGGATCTAGATGGCATGCCGGCAGATGTTCACAGAAAAAATTCTTTCAGCCTCACTGTTATGTTAGAAATTTTTTATAGTAAATGCTGGGAGGCTGGGGCTCAATGAATAACACAGCAATACAATAATGAATATGGTCAGGTGCTGAAACAAACAAGCAATCGATGAAATAGGTCCCTGGGAAAGAAAGGAGGTCCCTGTAAGCCATTAGGCCAGACGAAGTCAGCACGGATCTTTGCAGGGCCCCAGGGTAGACAAGATAACAACACGGTAAAGTGGTTGTGAGCGTGGCTAAGATGCTAAAAATCCTGGGTTCGAGTCTCACCTCAGTGCCTTCCCAGCAAGGTGCCCTTGGATAAGGTAGGTGGCATCTCTAGTAGATTTCTGGGGCAGCCATGACTAATTACCCCAAAGCGAGTGGCTTCAGACAAGAAATACAGACACCGACTCTCTTGCAGTTCTGGAGGCCTGAAATCAAGGTCTCAGGGTAACCTGCCAACAGCTCCAAGGGAAAAATCCTTCTTTGCCTCCTCTGGCTTCTGGTGGCTCCAGGTGTCCCGTGACTTGTGGGAATCTTTATGGGACCTTATTCTCTGTGTCTCAAATCTCCCTCTGCCTTCTCTTATAAGGACAGCTGTCACTGGATTTAGGACCCACCCTAAATCCAGGAAGGCACTTCAAGATCTTTAATTTAATTACATCTGCAAAGACTCTTTTTCTTACAAAGGTCTCGTTCTCAAGATCCAGGGGTTTAGGATGTGTCTTTTAGAGGGCCGCCATTCAGCCCTCTACAGGGGCCTCAGTTTCCTCAGCTGTGAAATGAGGATGTTAATGGTACCTTCCCTATTAGGTTTGATTGTTTTTCAGTTGCTTTTGTTTTTTTTTCTTTTTGGAGACAGGGTCTCACTCTGTTGCCCAGGCTGGAGTGCCATAACATGATCATGACTTACCGCAGCCTCAACCTCCCAGGCTCAAGCAATCCTCCTGCCCCTCCTGAGTAGCTGGAACTACAGGCTCACGCCATCATGCCTGGCTAACTTCTTAAAAATATTTTTGTGCCAGGCACGGTGGCTCACGCCTGTAATCCCAGCACTTTGGGAGGCCGATGCGGGTGGATCACAAGGTCAGGAGATCGAGACCATCTTGGCTAACACGGTGAAACCCCGTCTCTACTGAAAATACAAAAAATTAGCCGGGCATGGTGGTGGGTGCCTGTAGTCCCAGCTACTCGGGAGGCTGAGGCAGGAGAATGGTGTGAACCCAGGAGGCGGAGCTTGCAGTGAGCCAAGATCACGCCACTGCACTCCAGCCTGGAAGACAGAACGAGACTCTATCTAAAAAAAAAAAAGAAAAAAAAAATTTGTAAAGACGGGGTCTCAAACTCCTGGGCTCAAGCTATCCTCCCTCCTTGGCCTCCCAGAGTGCTGGGATCACAGGCAGGAGGCACCACACCTGGCCTCTCATCAAGTTTTTGTGGAGACGGGAATGTATGATGCACACTTAGCACAGCCCGGGGCACGGCCAGATGCCCAGACACCACCTGTTCTTACTGCAAGGATACTGCCATCATCGCAGACGGAGAGAAGGGGGCACACTCGGGAGACTCCAGGACAGGAGGAGCCAAGGAAGATAATGAGACCTATCTCAGGGGCCGCCGTGAGGGAGGAACAGGTACACCCGCACAGGGCTACCCACAGTGTCTGGAGGTGGTAACTGCTGAAGAAAGTGAACTCCCTTAAGAGCTGAGCGGGGTGTTGGCCACAGCGGGCGCCAGCCTTGGCTGTACCTGAGGTCAGCATGTTGTTGATGAGCTCCAGGAAGCCCTCCTCAGCCACATGGGCATCCGTGAACAGAAAGATCATCGCTTTGTTCTCAATCCCAAGTTTCAAATAGAGGCTCTTCAGGTCTTCCCGGAAACTGTTCTCCGAGTAGCCTCGGCTCAGCAGGATCTCAAACACCTGCGATGCAGACACAGAGCACATGGGCGTCACCACCACCAGCCTCCCTTCCCTGCGGGCTCCGGGGTGGGGACGCTGGAGGAGAGTGCAGAGGGCGTGGGTCTGTCCAAGCTCGAGGAAGTAGGTCAGGAAAGAAAAGTCTGGAAGGGACTCCCTGTCATGAAACAGAGGAGGGGGAAGCCCCATGAGCCCAGCAACAGAGGAAAGGGGGGAAGAATGTACCCCAAGGTGAACGCCAGCCACATACTGCAGTTTACAGAAAATCAGACCCTGTGGGAAGACGCACACAGGGAGAAATAAGCAGGCACTTTAACTTCGTGACAGGAAATCAATGTACACACGAAATCGATGTAAATGTGAATAAGGACATAAGTTTAAAGCACGCTTTTTCTGCTCAAGTGTTTCTTTTAGCTCAGAAGCAGAAATTAAAACTTTCATTGCAACCAGCGACTGTCAGAAACATGGCAGATTTCCAGGAACTGAGAGATCTCTCTCTGTTCCCTACCTCCCTCAACCCTATGCATTGACACACACGCTTCACTCACACTGTCACACTCACACAGTCATTCCCACATGTTCACACTCAGCCACACACTCACTTGCACCCTGGCATGCACTAGAACACATGCTCACACACACACACACACGTGTGCACACACACGCGCGCGCGCGCAACGCAACCAGGATGCCTTCTGGCCAATAGACTCTGGTCTCCAGTTCTGCCTGTCGCCTGCAAACCTTCCTCACCCCTCCCGAGTGCAGCCGCCTCCCCTCCCCAGCAGCTCCTGGCACTACTCTCTGAACACCTGTTCTGACCCCACTACCCAACCCTCGCCACTTCCTAGGGCCCAGACACAGCCCTGTGTGTCCTCAACCTCCTCCAGATCTCTGTCCCTCAACATCCTCTCTGCTGTTCCTCGAGGCGCTACTTTAGGGGAAAATGCCTCAGATTTACCTGGACAAATCAACAGAAAAAAAATAATAAAACTTTCCAGTGGGGAATGCCTTGTCCTATAGAAAAATGTGGAAAACAATTGCAAACAGTTATATTTTAACAATGAATGATTTCAATTATGTATTTCATCAGATTTAAAGCTAGATCAAGCATATTAGTTTTTCCCTTTTTTACAAATACCTCAAACAAAAGGCCAATATTTGTGAAATTTTGGAAGCTGGATTCATTGAATGAACTGTGATTGCTCTCCTATATAAAGAGTTCTCACAACTCAATAAGTATATAAAGGGGCAATACACAAAAGAGAAAAGGTAAATGTCCAAAAAATGTATAAAAGGATATTCAAACTTTACTATTAATTGGAGAAAGGATCATTTAAACTGCAATATTTTCCACCTATAATCTTGACAAATATCAGCATGACAATATCTAGTATTGGCAAGAATATGTGAAAACAGACACTGCCAGTTGCATAAATTAGCATAATCCTTTGTGGTGGGGTGATTGGTTGTTAATAAGGACACTTTTTTCCTTTCCTTCTGTCCTGCATCCCCAGGTCCTTTCCACTCCAAAGAGGCAAACTCCATATGAGTTTAGATCCAACCTTCCCAGTGCGAAATCTGGTGCCAGGCAACCAAAGCTGTAAAAGAGCATATACCCTTTAACCTGCCAACTTACCAATCTCTAAAGAAAGTGATCCTATAGGGAAAAAAAAATGAACAATATTCAAAGATACATAAACAAAGGTGTTCATCACTGCACTGTTAGTAATAAGAAAACAAGGACAAAGCTAAATGCCCGCCATTGGAAATGGGTTATGTGTGGCATATCCAAACAATAGAATACTGTCCAACGCTTCCAAAGACAATGTAAATATGTATTTATTGACTTGGAAAGACGCAGTGACACAGTGGGGAAAAATGACATAAGTTACATATAACTTTAACCCATTGCTGGTAAGAAGGAAATACGTTTGTGTATGAATGCACATATGGTCCCTGACTTCCTCTGGTTCAACTTAGAACTTTTTGACTTTGCCATGGCGCAAAAGTGCTACACTTTCAGCACACTCCTCAACTTAACGATGGGGTCACATCCAGATAAACCCATTGTAAGTTGAATATATAAATCAAAAGTGCATTTTCAGCTTATAATATTTTCAACTTATGATGGGTTTATTGAGACAGCCCTATTGTAAGTTGAAAAGTGTACATTATTCCGTTGGTTCCCAGACCAAAAATGAAAATAACAGAAAAATAATTTAAAAAAAGAAAAGTATACACTAAAAGGCTACTGGTACCTAACAGTGGCAATCTTTAGGTGATGAAATTACAAGTGATCCTTATTTTTTTAGACGCTTCTGCATCATTTGAATTGTTGCAGTGAGGATTATTCCATTTAGAGGGAGAGAAATGAGTGAGTCCATAACAATAGTGATTCTTACTCCGTGCAATAGACTGAATGTTTGTTCTCCCCACACACACACACAAAATTCCTTTGTTGAAATCATAACCCCCAATGTGATGGTATTTGGAGGTTGGGCTTTTAGGAGGTGATTAGGTGATGAGGGTGGAGCCCTCACGAATGGGATTAGTGCCCTTATAAAAGGGACCCCAAAGACTTTTCGTGCTGTCATCCATCCATGTAAGAATGCCATGAGAAGCCAGCCATCTGCAGCCCGGGAGAGGGCCCTCTCTGGAGCCCGACCATGCTGGCACCCTGATCTTGGAATTCCCAGCCTCCAGAATGGTGAGAAACGAACACCTGCTGTCCACGAGCCAGCCAGTCTATCGCACTTTGTTATAACAGCCTGAACTGCCTAAGACTCTCTGTGGTAATGGCAATGATGCTGAGTTAAATCTGATTCCAGAAAACACACTGAAGACAAAGAAGAAAGTCTGTGCAAAAGAACACCTCTTAGGTCAGGAGTTCAAGACCATCCTGGCCAACATGGCGAAACCCCGTCTCTAGTAAAAATACAAAAGTTAGCCGGGCGTGGTGGCACATGCCTGTAATCCCAGCTACTCAGGAGGCTGAGGCAGGAGAATCGCTTGAACCCGGGGAGGCAGAGGTTGCAGTGAGCCGAGATCACGTCATTGCACTCCAGCCTGGGCAACAGAGCGAAACTCCATCTCGGGGGCGAAGAAAAAGAACACCTCTTGCTTGCCAGGAGGAGAAGAGTCATGAAAATGACCCTTCTGCAAGAAGTGTCTTCTCTAAAGGTGGACTTATCAAAAGGTTCTGAGGTAGACATGAGGGGTGGCTGAGCATCTGAGAAGAACTGAGGCTGAATACAGATCCCGTCCTGCACCACACACCCAGAACAGGCACGGACAAAACTTCAGTCCATTGCATGGAATAAGAATCACTATTGTTATGGACTCACTCATTTCTCTCTCTCTCTAAATGGAATAATCCTCATTGCAACAATTCAAGCAATGCAGAAACGTCTAAAGAAAATAAAGATCATTTGTAATTTCATCACCTAAAGATAGCCGCTGTTAGGTACTAGTTGCATTTTAGGGTACACTTTTCAGCTTAAGATGGGGCTACGTCTCAATAAATCCATTGTAAATTGAAAATATTATAAGCATGCATGTGTATCATGCAACCAGAGGCAAAAACAGAGGCATTTTGGATAACGGGAGACCCTAATAGTGAAAGAAGTCAGATACCAGAGAACTAATGAAGAGTCGGGGAGAAAAGGGTGAATGAGGGACATGACTCTTCTTCAAATTACATCTCAATGCATAGTGTCTGCTCCACTTCGAGAGGCCCCTTGCAGGTGAGTTACCTGTGGAACCTGCAGGAGGTACCTGTATGATTCTAAGAATGGTGTGGACAAACAGGAACCCTCAGACGCTGCTGGTAGGAATGGAAAACGGTGCAGCCACACCCTGGAGGTTCCTCAAACAATTAAACATAGAGTTATCATAGGATCCCGCAATTCCACTTGTAGGAGCATACTCAAGAGCAATGCAAACACATGTCCACACAGAAACTTGTGCATGAAAGCTCACAGCAGCACTGTCCACAAAAGCCAACAGGTGGAAACAACAAACACGCCCAGCAGTGGATAAAGGAAACGTGGCATAGCCACACGAGGGCCTCCTATTTGGCAAAAAAAAAATGAAGTACCGATGTATGCTACAACATGAACTTTGAAAGCACTGTGCTAAAAGAAAGATACCAGACACAAAATAGACACACACACTATTCACATGAAAGTCTAGAATAGGAAGACTATAGAGACAGAAAGCAGATTAGTCCGTTAGTTGCTCAGGGCTTGATGAGGGGAGGGTGCAGAGGTCAGGGTGGTGATCACTAAAGGGCATGGGATTTCTTTTTCTTTTTGAAACCACAAAATGTTCTTTTTTTTTTTTTTTTTTTTTTTTTTGACAGAGTCTTACTCTGTCTCCCAGGCTGGAGTGCTGCGGCATGACCTCAGCTCACTGCAACCTCTGCCTCCCAGGTTCAAGTGATTCTCCTGCCTCAGCCTCCGAGTAGCTGGGATTACAGGTGCGTGCCACCATGCCTGGATCATTTTTTTATTTTTAGTAGAGACGGGGTTTCACCATGTTGGCAAGGGTGATGATGAACTCCTGACCTCAGGTGATCCACCCGCCTTGGCCTCCCAAAGTGCTGGGATTACTGGTATGAGCCACCACGCCCGGCCGAAGCCACAGAAGTGTTCTAAAGTAGACTGTGGTCTGGTTGCACAGATCTGTGAATGTGCCAACAAGCACTGGCTTGTATGCTTTGAATGTGTGGATTGTATGGTCTTGAATTCAATCTCAGTAAAGCTGTTTAAAAATACAAGATTCTAAGATTAACCCAGATCTGTGTGTGCAGGCTGTGCAGATATGGCAGCCAGCAAATTGCCAGCCCCATACTATGGGTGCACTGAGGTTTGGGCCAAGCCCTCCCCATATGAACACACATCACCGTTCACAGGATGTGCTTGTATTTGACTTTCTAACTTGATCTGACATTCTCCATCCTAAAAACAAAGCAATACAGATGGTCCCCGGCTTTGATGGTTCCACTTAGGATTTTTCAACTTTATGATGGGTTAATTGGGATATTAAATGTATTTTCAACTGACAATATTTTTGACTTATGATTATTTTATCAGGATGTAACCCTATCCTAAGCCAAAGAACACCTGTACTTAGATGCTCTGGCTATTCAGTTAAAATATAGTAATATCAAGCCAAAAACAAGAAAAAATAAAACAAACCAAAACACCCACCTCGATACTCTATGAAAACATCATGCTATGATCTGCTGTGGATTGTTCCAATATGTACACGAACTACCAACTGCAGAAACTGGCATCGTAAACCTATTTCTGGGAGGGTACGTGGACTGACCTCACAGCTGGCTGTGAAGGCAGCCAGCCTCGAAAGAGACTGCTTCCCTGAGCCCCCTACCCCGACCAGCAGGGCGTGGCCGCGGTCCATGCGGATGATACGGTGCACCCGGGTTAAATGCTCCAGAGCATCGTCGAAGAGAACCAAGTTCATTTTGGTGTTGCTTTCATTATACTCTTCAAGAATTTCCTGCATTTAAAAAAAAAAAAAGAATTCAAAACCCAGCATGGTGGGTTTTACAATCTACCCATCTGACAAAGGGCTAATATCCAGAATCTACAAAGAACTTAAACAAATTTACGAGAAAAAATCAAACAACTTCATCAAAAAGTGGGCGAAGGATACGAACAGACACTTCTCAAAAGAAGACATTTATGCAGCCAAAAGACACATGAAAAAATGCTCATCATCACTGGCCATCAGAGAAATGCAAATCAAAACCACAATGAGATACCATCTCACACCACTTAGAATGGCAATCATTAAAAAGTCAGGAAACAACAGGTGCTGGAGAGGATGTGGAGAAATAGGAACAGTTTTACACAGTTGGTGAGACTGTAAACTAGTTCAACCATTGTGGAAGTCAGTGTGGCGATTCCTCAAGGATCTAGAACTAGAAATAGTGTTTGACCCAGCCATCCCGTTACTGGGCATATACCTAAAGGATTACAAATCATGCTGCTATAAAGACACATGCACACGTATGTTTATTGCGGCACTACTCACAATAGCAAAGACTTGGAACCAACCCAAATGCCCATCAATGATAGACTGGATTAAGAAAATGTGGCACATATACACCATGGAATACTATGCATCCATTAAAAAGGATGAGTTCATGTCCTTTGTAGGGACATGGATGAAGCTGGAAACCATCATTCTCAGCAAACTACTGCAAGGACAGAAAACCAAACACCGCATGTTCTCACTCATAGGTGGGAATTGAACAATGAGAACACATGGACACAGGAAGGGGAACATCACACACCAGGGCCTGTTGTGGGGTGGGGGGAGGGGGGAGGGATAGCATTAGGAGATACACCTAATGTAAATGACGAGTTAATGGGTGCACTACACCAACATGGCACATGTATACGTATGTAACAAACCTGCATGTTGTGCACATGTACCCTAGAATTTAAAGCATTAAAAAAAAAAAGAGAATTTAAAACCCAGCACAGTGGCTCATGCCTATAATCCCAGCACTTTGGGAGGCTGAGGAGGGAGGATCACTTGAGCCCAGGAGTTCGAGACCAACCTGGGCCACAGAGCAAGACTACGTCTCTACAAAAATAAAAACAAAAAAATCAGCTGGGCACGGTGATGTGTGCCCATAGTCCCGGCTACTCCAGAGGCTGAGGCAGGAAGATCACTTGAGCCCAGGAGGTTGAGGCTGCAGAGAGCCGTGATCGTACCACTGCACTGTGGCCTGGGTGACAGAGAGAGACCCTGTCTCAAAATAAATAAATAAATAAATAATGTCTTAAAGGATCACTGGATTTTAAGAGACAGACTCCCTCCTTTTGTCCAGAGGAGATTAAGAATGGAAGAGAGATTTTTCTGAACATCTATAGTAGTTAAAATAATTAAACTGCTTGGGTCTCCAGGACTAATCTAGCTTTCACAATCGAGATTTCCATCTGCTGGGCTTTGATTGGCCAGCAGCGACCCAAAGCCGGTAACAAGGCTCATCTCATGAATTTAAATGAAAATGAATATTAGGGAGTCAAACAAGTGGTTCCCAAACCTGGCTGTGCACCAGAATCTGGGGACCCTCCATGGGCCCAGCGCAGCAAATCTCACGGGGTGGCCCCAGGAGTCTAACAATTTCCTAACGTCACTCCCAAGCATGCTGGATGTGGGAACCACCGGACCAGACACAAGCCCGTATTTCAAGCCCTCAGACAGAGCCCCAGGTGATAGGCTCCCGGGCACCCGCGCGATGCTCAGCTCCCGCTTGGCCCATGCTCAGGAGAAAGTGAGCCCATGGACAGGGTGGGGCTCATCCCCACCTGGAACAGAGCCTTGGCCGCCTCGTAGTCCTGGATGTCTTCATAAATGCGTGGTTCTCCTTCGTGCAGAGCCATCTGGAAGTCTCCAAACAATATGGGATCCCTCATCACCACCTCCACGTCATCTTTAAAATGTTCCACAACCAAGCTGCCTATGTGCTGTTGTACCTTGAAACAGAAGCCCACTTAAGGACCCAAACTCAACAACAGTACACGGCCTGAAACTTGCTAGGAGCAGAGGATACGTACTATTATCTAAAATAATTTGCGTTCTATTTTTTTTCAGTTGCTGCAAGACGCTTAATAACCCACCCACCCTCCTTTGCCCCATTGACCTTTCGTGCCTATTTTTCCACAATTCGCGTCCTAATATAAAAAACACTTTTGGCGCTTGTTTATTTTCCTGAGAAGAATTTCCTGAGAAGAAGCATTGGATGTACTGACCAGCTGCTTGTCTGTTTCACTGATCAGCCGGTCGTGGAAGACTCTCAGACACTCATTCCTCCAGACTCTCACCATCTGGGCCACCGTCTGGAATCTGCAGAATGGAAGGGACAAAAATCAGCCAGGAAGTCACCTGAAGGATACCAGGGCTGACGGCTGTGACATTCAGACAGACAGACACACAGAGCGCAATAAAGGCCCAACATTTCTCCAGTCGTGCCCCCCTAGTCTCACGTTAATGAAATCTAACCAGAGAATCCAACAGAAGCTAAGAAAGTAATGTAAACCCCCTAAAGTCATCATCCGTAGCTTATCTTACTGTAGGAAAGAAAAAAAGAGCGTTGTCTATAAATGACGTAAAATAAGTACCTGACATCATCCCTACTTGTTGGAATACATGAATTTAAAATCAGCATCAGGGTCACTGGCAACTTCTTTTTCTCTCTTTTTTCTTTTTTTAAGAGGTGGGGTCTCGCTTTGTTACCCAGGCTGGTGCATTGGCACAATCATAGCTCACTGCCACCTCAAATTCCTGGGCTTAAGTGATCCTCCCACCTCAGCCTCCCAAGTGGCTGGGACTACAGGTACATACCACCACACTCAGCTAATTTTTTAAATTTTTTTGTAGAGATGGAGTCTCACTATGCTGCCCATGCTGGTCTAAAACTCCTGGGCTCAAGTGATCCTCCTCCCTTGGCCTCCCAAAGTGCTGAGACTATAGGCATTAGCCACTGTGCCTGGCCGACAGCTCCTTTTTCTAAGAGCCAACTCAATCTGGCCCCAATTCCAGAACTTTCCCTGCATTCTAGCAAAGAACCGTCACTCCACCTGAAACACCTGGAGCTGCCCTCTCCTGACCGCCCCTGACAGTCTGTATGTTTCAAGGCACTCAAAAGCAGGATACATGGAAAATTCTCAATTCATTTTTCAGTATCTTCTGGATTCATAATATGAATCCACATAATTGGACTATGCTTGCAAATCCACATAGACTAAAGTAGACATTCATGTAAAGGTATAAGCCTAGTTTTAATCGGGAATTTCCCTATATCGTGACTTAAATCCTTTCTGTCCTCTGCTTACTTCTCATAAAGACACACATCCTATAACCAACCGGCAACGACTGAGTTATGTGAGCAAAAGGCTCCATGCAGGCAAATTCCAACTTCAGAACTGAAAACGAGAAGTCAACAACACAGCCTGCCCAAGGGGTGTGATAGGCTTGTCCCCACTTCTGCTTCTCTTGGTTTTGCCTGTTTCAATGCAAAGGCTTACAAAGCATCAAGCCTTAAGCCAAGTGTTGGTCTCTCTTCTTCAACATAAGCAAAGACATTGGGTAATTAATTCATACAACGATTCATCAAATCCACTGATAAGCCCTCTGTCTTAAAAGAATAAGAAAACTATCATACCTGTGGGGCATATTTTAGTAAGATAAATCAAACTCACCGCTCCGGGTTAGTGAGGACAAGACCATTAAAAACCCGTGAGAGATCTCGAAGGTTGAAGATGTAATGGAACTTTGACGGAGTGGGAGGTAGGTCTTGCACAATATTTTTGTAAAGTGCTAGCGTGCAGAATGTCAGCTTGCCACTCACAGCCACAATGCTCTCATGAAACGTCTGAAAAATGCAAAGACACCCCCCCCAACACACAAATGTCCTTCAGTAGATGAGTGAATAAACAAAATGTGGCAGAGCCGTACAATGGACTATTACTAAGCTATAGAAAGGAATGAAGTTGGCCAGTCACGGTGGCTCATGCCTGTAATCCCAGCACTTTGGGAGGCCAAGGTGGGCAGATCACCTGAGGTCAGGAGTTGAAGACCAGCCTGACCAACACGGTGAAACCCCATCTCTATTAAAATAAAATATAAACATTAGCTGGGCATGGTGGTGCGCACCTGTAATTCCTGCTACTCAGGAGGCTGAGGCAGGAGAATCGCCTGAACCCAGGAGGCGGAGGTTGCAGTGAACCGAGATCACGCCATTGCACTCCAGCCTGGGTGACAGAGGGAGACTCCATCTCAAAACAAAATAAAACAAACCAGGAATGAAGCACTGACAGACACAAGCTCCAGCACGGATGACCCTTGAGAACATGATGAGGAGTGAAGCAAGCCAGGCACAGAAAGCCACGTGCTTTATGACTCTATTTATATGAAATACCCAACATGGAAAACTCCATGGAGACAGAAGGTAGAGTCACGGTTCCTGGGAATGAGAGGTGGGATGGGAGTAAGTGCTAATGTGTGTGGGTTTCCTTCCAGGGTGATGAAAATGTTCTGGGGTTAGACGTTGCTGATGGTTGCACAACGCTGTGAATGGACTAAGTGCCACTGAATTGTATACTTTAAAATGGCTATAATAACGAATTTTGTGTTATGTGAATTTTTTTTGAGATGGGGTCTTGCTCTGTTTCCCAGACTGGAGTGCAGGGGCATGATCAGGGCTTACTGCAGCCTCGACCTCTTGGGCTCAAGTGATCCTCCCACCTCAGCCTCCTTTGTAGCTGGGACTACAGGACACCATCATACCTGGCTAATGTTTCATATTTTTTGTAGAGACAGGGTTTCACCACATTGCCCAGGCTGGTCTTGAACTGCTGGGCTCGAGTGATCCGCTCTCCTCAGCCTCCCGAAGTGCTGGGATACAGGTGTGAGCCACCATGCCCAGCCATTATGTGAATTTTACTACTTATTTTTAATTTTTTTATTTTTTTATGTATTTTAGATTGAGACTCTGTTGCCCATGCTGGAGTGCAGTGGCATGATCTTGGCTCACTAAAGCCTTCACCTCCCAGGTTCAAGCAATTTTCCTGCCTCATCCTCCCAAGTAGCTGGGACTACAGGTGCCTGCCACCACACCCGGCTAATTTTTGTATTTTTAGTAGAGATGAGGTTTTGCTATGTTGACCAGGCTAGTCTTGAACTCCTGACCTCAAGTGATCCACCTGCCTCAACCTCCCAAAGTGCTGGGATTACAGGCGTGAGCCACTGCACCGGGCCTGATTTTTTTGTATTGCTCTAGATTTTCACATTAACTGTGAAGTCAACATGATGTGAAACCAAAGACCCCAACCAGCCCTCGGTGGGAGTTTTATTTGACCAGCACGGACCTCACCGTTTTGAAAGCAAATGCCTTCAGGTAGGGCATGAACGGGCCAGGTGCTCATAGTTCCTACTGATCAGGCCTGGCCACTCCACACCTTTATCTTACCCACCTGGCCCCTGGAGCCTCCGAGTGTGCAGACTCCGCTTTAGCAGGGAAACGCCAGATCAGAAGATGGTTGTTTAAATGAATGGGTTCCATTTGGAGGAGCCAAGTAAATCATAATAATAACAGCAGTAACTAGTAACCAATGAGTAGCTGCTATGCACTAGGCAGTGTGCACTAGGCACCCTTTACACGCATTTCTCTCCTTTCATCCTCCCAAAACCCAGTGAGGTGGGGACCATCATGATCTCCCCGCTCCAAATGAGAATGAGGTTAGGAGAGTTCAAGAGACCTGCTCCCGGAGCAGAAGGGGACTGACTCCAGGGCCCCAGCCTGCTAGTTGATTCTTCGCTGTCACTCAATGTGGCATGAGCACCTCAGGGCCACATCAGGACTCCCACGGGCCCAAGGCACTTTTACCTCCATGGACCTCTTCCTCCATAAAAATACATTACAATTACATTTTATAATGGCATCGTATAAAGATGATTTTTTTCTTCTGATTTTGCAAGAAATTAAAACATTTTCATAGGCCCTTAAAAGTATTGAGGGCCCTAACCCTGCTGTGCCTACATGGATAAGTCAGCCCTGTGTATGTTTCCCCCCAACACAAGGTCTTCCGGTTTAGACTTCTAGTTAAAATCAAGTTACCGAGGTGTGGCCTTTCAGGATGGAGGAATAAATTAAATGCAGAGACTCCTCTGAAGGAAATGGCACATTGAAGACACTGAATAGCGAAATAAATCTTGGGTCAACTTCATTGCGGCCTCCTCCAGCCTTTCCCATTGCAGCAATAAAGCCAAGGTCTCGAATGCTTTTACAGTTCAGCTCCTTCCCACGGTCATATAAGTAGCCTTTTTCCAACAGCAGCTTCAGCAAGGCAATGGGCTGCTGCGTGCCATATTCATCCACCTTGATTTTTTTTAAAAAAGAAAAGAGAACAGTAGTATCGCAAAGTAGGAGTCAGAGAGGCGTTGGCTGACCATCCCAGCTCAAGCTCATTTTTCCCGTTACTCTCCAGGGCACCTCGGTTTCAGTTTCATGGGGCTTCTCAAAGGTTGCAACTGTATATATCCATTTGTGATTGTGTTTTTTGAAGTTTGTCTCCCTTACGATACTACAGCTTCATGAGGGCAGGAACTGCATAGGTGTTGACTACACAGCACCAGTCCCATAGGAAGAGCTGAATAAATATATGTTAATTCAATTAATGAACGGATGGATGGATGGACAGATGGACGAATGGACAAATTGATGGATGGGCAGATGGACAGACAGATGGACAGACAAGAATTCAACAATGCAGTGCCACCCAGGGGGTGTGATATGCCTGTCCACACATCGACACTTCTGCTTCTCTTGGTTTCACCTGTTTCAACTCAGGGGCTTACAAAGCATCAAGCTTTAAGACAAGCATTTGTCCTTTCTTCATTTAACATAAGCAAAGACATTGGGTAATTAATTCATACATTGATAATGACAGACAGATTGGACCATCCATTGAATGGATGGATGGATGGATGGATGGATGGATGGGTAGATGGATGGATGGATGGATGGATGGGTGGATGGGTAGATGGATGGACAGGTGAATGAACAGATGGGTAGATGGATAAATGGACGGGTAGATGGATAAATGGACAGGTAGATGGAAAAACAGACAGATGGGCAAAAAGAAGAATAGATGGATAGATGAACAAATCTATGAATGAATGGACAGATGGATGGTTGGATGGGTGAACAGATAGGTAGGTAAATAGCAGATGGGTGGATGAAAAAAACAGACACATGGATGGATGAATGGAAGAACAGACTGATAGATGAATGAACATATGGATGGATGGATGGATGGATGGATGGATGGATGGATGGATGGACGGACGGACTCTGGCTTTGCATACAGTCCTTCTGGAAATAGACTTTCAGAAAAAAATGGTTCAATGAAATAATATAAATTTAAATTCTAGTATGCCAAGAAAACTTTGCACTTCTCAGGCTCAGATCCCAGAAACATACTCATAATGCAGCTGAAGTTTCTCTTCCTTGAAGAGTCCAGCGGAATTCTTGGGAAGGGTCTGTCCTGATGCCTCCCATGTACACGGGGCCAACAACAGTATTATTATCTAAATAAGAGCTCCTTTGGAAACCACTTCCTCAAATACATGCTGAATTTAGTTCAAAGGCTGCTGGCTGCCTGCTTCCCTCCTCTAAGAAACTAAGGAACATGATCAGTCAGGGAAAGGTCCCTCTGTGTAAGAAGAGCATCCCAGGTACATTCTGCCTTAGGCTGGCTCCCCGCAGCCTGTACCCTGCAGACATTGCACAGAGGTAAAGATCAATGTTCTCATACTCACTTCTAACACACACACACACCCATGCAAACACAAGCACTGTCTTGACCCATCCCTCCACCTGCTTGAGCGTCAAACTACCCTTGGCATATTCATGTCATCCATGAACACCAGCAGGCGTTTTCCCATGGGTGGGCCGTAAGTATCTTTGGTTCGCTTTTCCACATTTGCTTCTAAATTTCTTTGGATATCCATGGACGTGGTGCGGGAGGAGAAGTTGACCATTAACACAATCTGAAGCAGAAAGAGATGATGTGAAAAGCCAGCTTTTTCCCCAGGGTAGCAGCAGTAAACATTTGCAAATAAGCTAGCAACTATTTTGCAAATCCATTGGCCTCTGAACTAACTTTTTAATAACCCAGTGTGAGACTGTGCTTCATTATTTTCTAAGTGCTAAAGTAAGAGTTCCTCTTTCCTTTCAGCAGATTGTATGAGTCAATAGCGAATTGTCGCATGTGAGCCTTGGGGACAATGTGGCATACAAGAAAGTAGACTGAGGGTCTTGTTTCTGCACAGTTCTAGCAAGGCGACTTCCAAAAAGTCATTCAACCTTTCAGAGCCTCGTTTTTCTCACTTGTAAGACGATCGTAATGGCATCTCTTAGGACTACTTCATAGAGCTATTGCATCGTATGAGATGCAATATCCAACAGTATTTTCAATATGACAATATTCAAACATAAATCACTATCATGCTGGCTGTATCTAAATAGGTCAAAGAGAGCATGAACAAGTGGTTCAGGCTTTGGGACTAACTGCCGGCAGGAAGGGTGAGGGAAGCCCCCTGGATGCTCATGCATGTGTCCTCAGGCCCTCCTGCCATGCTTAGGCTGGCGAGAGCTCCTTGATTAGTGGTTCTCACACTTAACTAATTATGCATCAGCTCCACCTGCAGGGTTTGTGCCACACACCTTGCTGGGCTCCATTCCCCAGAGTTTCCAATTTGGTAGATCAGGGTGTTTTTGTTTTGCTATTTTTAGGAGACAGGGTCTTGCTCTGTTGCCCAGGTTGGAGTGCAGTGGTGCACAATCATAGCTCACTGCAGCCTTGAATTACCAGCCTCAAGTGACCCTTCTTCCTCAGTCTCTTGAGTAGCTGGGACTACCAGGCACAAACCACCATTCCTGGTGGTCTAGGGTATTTTTTTAACAAGTTTCCAGTGATGCCAAGGCTGCCGGTCTGGGGACCACACTTTGAGAACGAACCTCTGCCTTCCATAACTCTCTCCACGTAGGGCACCCAAAGTGCAGGTGCACATGAGCTGAACGTGTTGAAGCTGAATGTGTACCTTGCTAAAGCCACTGTGTTCAGGTGTACCTGGCTGGGCTGATGAGCACCAGCTGCAGAGTCCTGGGGTAGGGGTGTTGTGAAGGAGGCTCCCAAATGCGGCTTCCTAGTGCCTGACTCCACAAACCTGCAGGTCCCTCTGGCTGTAAACACTGCCATGCTCCCTGTGCACATCTCCATGTTTATCCCCCCACTGCCTGCAAATCCCTACAGAACAGATCTTGACAGCTTGTTCACTATCACTTGTCCTGTGCACCCTGCGAATTCTATGCCAGGTACATATCCGACCCCCGACACATTGGACACATAGCTGGCTGGAGGAAGGAAAGGAAACACTTGCAAAGTTTTAGAAACCCAAAAATGATGGTGAATAATGTGACAGCCAGCCTCCAAAAGGGCCCCAGATCATACTCACCTCCAGGTGTCCATGCCCTGGTGCAGGTCCCTCCCACACTATATCAGGGTGTACAGGGTGGCTTCTATCTCACCCATAGATTAGGGCAGAAGGGAGGGTATGTGACTTCCAAGGCCAGGTCATAAAAGACATCATAGCATCTGCTTTGCCATCTATCTTAAGCACTCACTCTACCATGTTGAGCACACCCAAGCCATCCATGGAGAGAGCCACATGGTGAGGAACTGAGGCCTCCAGCCTCCAGCCATGTGAAACGTCATCTCAAATGAGGATCCTCCAGCTCTACCCAGGCCTCCAGGTATCTACAGCCCTGGCCAACAGCTTGACTGCAATCCCATGAGAGCCTGAGCTAGAAGCTCCCAGGTAAGTCACTCCCACATTCTCGACCCACGGAAACTGTGAGATCACAGTGCTTGTGGTATGAAGCTGCTATGCACTGGAATAATTTGTTACACAGCAATAGATAATTCATATGAATAATGACTTACGTTAGTTTCTTCACTCAGATTTTTGAGGAAATTCTGGGTAGTGGCTGTCTTAGAAGTGCCAGATTCACCAACAAAAATAACAGGTTGCTTAATTTTAACCATTTGTTCCAATATCCAGGTAGTCCGAGTGGTATCCACTGTGTGAACTAAAGTAGACATTAGGAACAGGGGCATCTCAGCAACTCCAATAGGGTGAGCACTGGGGGCAACATGGAGTTGTCCTAGAACCCCACAAATCCCATAAAAAACAGGAGCAAAGGCCAAGACATGACCTCAGAAACATTCACCCATTGAAGTGTATAACTGATTGACTTTGGCACAGTTCTGCAGCGGCGCGACCATCACCACAGTCCAGGGTTAGAACGCCCAAGCCGGTTTTGAGATGCAATTCTGACTTATGCCAGGATATCAAAAACTCAGCTTCTTTGTTGCTGACATCACTCAGACCCCTGCGGGATTTAACTTCCTGAGCAACACCTTCCTCCGAAGAGACAGTGAAGCCACAGCATCGGGTCTGGCTCCCTCTTGCACTGGCAGGTTTCAACCCTGATGGGCTCCCGAGAAAACAGGGATGTCTCACTCCGTAAGCTCAATGGACCAAAGTCAGACACATGCTTTGTGAAATTATTCAGCCCATATTTTACCTGAATAGCCAGCCTATATTTTATCTGAACAGCCAGAGGGGTGCATTCTAAGTGTGGTTCAGTAGGTAAACGCCCATGGCACACAGCTTTTCAAGCCAGCGCCCTTTATAAAACACTGCCTCGTTCGTTGCCGTCTAGTCCCCACCCAGCCAGCTCTGTGGACTGAAGAGAGCCCAGGGAAAGGCCAGGGGAGGCGAAACGGCATCTCATCTGCCTGTGGGGATCGGCCTGCTGGGGAAAGAGCTGAGAGGCAGAGCCACGGAAGATGCTCAGAGCCAGCAGCTGACAAAAATACCAAAGCGGCCACCCTCCATGCCCAGGAGGGCCCACAGCTCACCCTCTTCAATTCTTCTCTACCAGCTCTCTGCGTGGGACTTAGAGTACCAGAGAAGCCATGGGATCTTCTTTGCCTCCTCCTAGAGCGAGTATCACACACTCCTAAACCCAGGAACAAGGATTTGACTCTGACTTACCCAGGATGTTGATGAATTTCCTCTCGGGGGCATGAATATACTCTGGAACTAATTTACTCCATGGGACCCATTGATTCCGTTTGTTATCAAAATGAAAGTCATACAAGGTTGGAAGTTGACCTGCAGGAAATCATGGTTGATTTCACTTGAATCATAAACACGGAAATACAAAAGCAGTTCTGGCACATGCTTGAAATGAACTAATGTTGCTTGTACTGCACGGAGGCCATAGTGAGTACTTCAATGCTGCTCCTTCACTGGACAGATACCGAGTACCTTGAACTAATGCTACTCATCACTGGACAGATGCCAAGTATTTGGAGCTTATGCTTCTAGTTCACGGGACAGTCACTAATGTGACTTGTGCACTTGTCAGGCACTTTCTGAGTATTTTCAACTAACACTTCCCTTTCACTGGACATACACTTCCCTGGGAATACAACAGTGAAGCAGAGAGCCCTGGTCCCTACCCTTGCAGTTGTTCGAGGGCCAGGTGGGGGACAGATACAGGCAAGAAGTGGCCATTTCAGTGTGGAGCCATAAGTGCTGCAGCAGGAGAGGGGCAGGAACAACGGACAATGCGGGAAGGCAGCAACCCAGGCGGGGCAGGGGAGAGATGGAAGCTGCAGGTGCCCGAGTAATCACCATCGCCTCCGCTCAGGCCATGCAAGGCTTTACTTGAGCATGTCTAAGAGCTGACAGGATGGTAGAGAGGCGGAGACTGAACATGAGAGAGAGAGATAAACTCAGATGGAGCGAGGAGCCTGAGAAGGAGGAAGGGGCTGGGTTGGCCTTGGCTGGGGTGCAGTGGGGGTGGCCTCTTCCACTGTAAAAGGAGAAAGTCAGAGACAGGAGCTATAGGCTTTTCAGCTGGAAGGAGAGATTCCTATCAGACAGCTTCCGTTGTTCCTGTTGAAGCAGGGAGAAAGATCAGCTGCGGAGAGCGCGGAAAGGGCAGGGTAGATATTTGGGGAAAAGGCCCAATGCTCCTTTGGAGCCAGGAGTGAGTGTGCCAGCTGGGGACTGGGATTTATGGAGACATCTGTCTTTGTGGCTGCATGGTCTTCTCCCTGTCAGCCCTTAGACAGGCAGAGAAGACAGACTTGGAGTTTTCTCGGAGGGATTCAGCAGAGCAATTAGGCAAGGCATGCGGAGGTCTCAGGCAAGAGTGGCTGAAGTGAAGGCCACCAGCCAAGGAAGTGAGGATGCAGGGAAGGGGCAAGTATGGGTGCTCGAGGCAACAGCAGACACTGGGGCGACACAGTGTCCATCCCCATGAGGCCAAACAGAAACACATGTGGCCCGAGTCTCAGAGGCAGAGTAGGTGGAGAGCAGGATTTGTGATGCAGACATGACAGTGCCAGAGATCACCGTCAAGCGTATGCTCGAGGGCCTGCAGGGCTGAAGCTGTGAGCAGGTGTCTGGAAATGGGATGCCCACAGGGCCATTCAGGCCCCCAAGATGAGGGCAAATGAGGGAGACAAGCCAGGGAAGCAGGCCAACATTGTCTCCGAGTGAGGGAATTGCAGATGGCAGCAACGCACAGCCAGCGTGGCTGGCGGAGCTGAAAAGCACTCCCCAAAGGGAGATTTCAGTTCTGGAAAAGTGCACTCAGACTCCCACCGAATAAAGCAGGGACCTGAAAAACATCTTTGATTTGCTCCATGACTGTCCATTAGAAAGACCGGAGGCCATTTCATTTTAAACTTTAAAAAGACCACCAGGTAAGGAGTATAAAATACAACTTCAAAAGCCATCTACATTCCAAGCCATGCTCGAATAGCAATAAGAGATGGATAAAGAAGGGTCCTACCATTGCATATAGACCTTGGAGAATGCATCTTTTTCATCATGTATGATTCATTGAAGATGCACATTTTTGTGCAAAAACATAAAATGTTAATTGTATGATTTCCTATGAACGATTTACAAATCCACACTTGATTGTCTACTGTGCAAATACTCAGGAATACAGCAGATGAATGATATGGTGAAAATGGAGATAGATGGTTAAAAATAAAAATTAAAAAGACAGATAGGGAAGCCCACAGAAGAAGAAACTCAAAGTCATGCAGAATGTGAAAAGTTTAAAGAGCAAAGGAAGCAAGTGCCTAAGCTGAGGCAAGAGAAGTTGACTCTCATCCAGAAAGACCACCCAGAGGGCCTGGGCTTCTGTCACAGCAGTCAATGCATGTGAACCGCTCCTGGGTGTTCCGCCATGTGCTCTGACCATTGCATGTTTCTCTAAAGAAGCAAACAATCTGGAAAACTCATACAGACAGAAATATGGAAAAGCTCATTCACTTCCTCTAGAAATTTAACCAAAGGCACTCAGAGCAGGGAAACAGGCGACACTCGGTTCCCACCTGGCAGTTCCCCAGGGTTGGCCCAAACTCCTTCTGTGTCAACAGTAGACAAAGAAGCAAGGCGTTTGATATATTCGTCAAATTTCATCCTTCCATCCTCAAGCAGGGAGGCTCCCAGAGAGCAGTACAAAGCCTCCAGGAAGTAGCACTCCAGCAGGTCAAGGTCTTCTATTTCTCCTTCTAGCAACGCATCCAACATCTTGGCTAACTGGGTTACCTGGTTCACAGGAAAATATCTGGTTCAGCCCACATAGTCCACCCCCACAGAGTCCATTCCAGTCATAAATCCTGGGATCCCAGGTCCCAGAGCGATGGGAGCATAAGACCCAACATGTTGGTTCAGACAGATGGAACCCAGTATCTTGACTTGCACAAAAGCAAGCACGGCGCCCGCCTTGGCACTGACCAACAATGCTACTGTTCACCCTGTCTGGCATCTTCACTCCCTTTAAAACCCTACCGTGAGCTTGTCTTTAGGAAAGAATTTCTTTTTGCTAACAGCAGGGATCATTTCTTACCATATTGAGGTCTGTCTGAGGAACTATTGTCTTCAGCTTTTCTGCTTGTCTTCCATCCACAATTCCTTCCACTATCACATCCATGAGATAGGGCACATACTTCTCAAAGAGACTATTCAAATTGTATTGCTCCACCTATAAAAAAGTAGCATTCCAAAGCATTTCAAGGGTTTGTTTATTTAAATGGAAGTTAGTGGAAAGCTTTTCTTGCCCAAAGAGGGTTGAGCAACATCTTCTGATGAATGATACATTTGGCAGGTGAGGAAATCCTGATAATAGTGCCCTATATTTGCAGAGAGATTTGTCCTCTGCAATATGCTTTCATCTCATCATGAAGTGTTTCATTTCGCTGCCACAGAGTCTACCATGCCCTTGGGGAAGAAAAAGGGAAGATAACAGGTCCCATTTGACAGGAAAGAGGCTGATCATCTTAGAGTTCAAGTGACCACAGTCATCCAGAAAAGACTGTAAAGCAGTGAAGGTCCCCTCCCTATCAAAGCACCAATCACCACCAGGGATTGCAAGGGTCCTGAGACAGCTGTCTCCCACAGGACAGTGCCTCAGATGGTTCTGTCATGCTTCCTTTGTTCTTCCTTTGTTCTGCTCTTTTCTGGCATAATTATGTCCTGGTTTCCATTCACCTCCAACCTAGTAGCCCTACTAGAGACACACCCAGAACACCTGTGTTCCTTTGAGAAGGTGGTCGTAGCGTCCTAGGTGTGGTTGAGCCACAACCCGCACGTGACTGTCACATCCATCTCTGCACTTTTCACAGAAGCCTTTTGTTAAGACAACACACACTCTGGCCTGTCATCTGTTTTGTAAATAAAGGTTTATTGGTACACAGCCATGCCCATTTGTATACAAATTTCTGGCTGTTTTCATGCCACAACAGCAGAGTTGAGTAGCTGTGAAAGAAATCATATTGCCCACACAAAGCCTCAGACATTTACTATCTACCCCTCTACAGAAAAAGTTTGTCAACCTCTGGTCTAGACCAACCAATCCAATCATTACCTATCCCACTGGCTATAAACTATCTGAAATTAAATAAGTGTGTCGGTGTGTCGGTGGCTCACGCCTGTAATCCCAGCACTTTGGGAGGCTGAGGCGGGCAGATCACGAGCTCAAGAGATCGAGACCATCCTGGCTAACACGGTGAAACCCCGCCTCTACTAAAAATACAAAAAATTAGCCGGTCGTGGTGGCGGGCGCCTGTAGTCCCAGCTACTCGGGAGGCTGAGGCAGGAGAATGGCATGAACCTGGGAGGCGGAGCTTGCAGTGAGCCGAGATTGCGCCACTGCACTCCAGCCTGGGTGACAGAGCGAGACTCCGTCTCCAAAAAAAAAAAAAAAAAAAAAAAAAAAAAAAGTGTGTCTGCCATGTTTTCACTTATTTTGTGCTCAGGGACATGGGCAGGTCAAGGACAAAGTCATCGCCTTCAACTACAAACATCCCTCTGGACTATGTTATCCAACTAGCCATCAATACTAATAAATTTAAGTTCATTTTAGAAAAAAATTTCACCTTGTTTGGTATTTGATTAACCCATTTTTTCCAGTATGGTCGATATTTCAAGTTTTTAGGATCCACATAAACCATTCCACATCGAGAGACAGTTGCAGGGGAGGCATACTGTAAATCTCCAACCTGGATAAATAAAGAAAATCAATCATGGCTATAGCTATACACAAGATAAACTAGATGTTTAAGGACCTTCTCTTATGGAAAGTTTTTACAACTGCATGAAATCCAAATAATACCAAAATCAACACAGCTTCCATGAGCTTTTTAACTGAACACCTGGGATTTTGATGAGAAGATTACACACTTCTGATGTAACATCTTTTTGGTTTTTCTATTATAAAATTAATGTGAAAATTAATACGTTGTAGAATATCTGACAAAAAATAGAAAAATATAAAGAAGAAAATAAGTTATCCAAATCCCACCACCCAGAAACAAATGTTGTTTTGGAGTGTTTTCCAGTCAATCTTTTTTCTTTATTATTTTTTTAACATAGTTGAGATCAGGCAGTATAAAACTTCATAAGTACAAAGCTAAACCAGATATATTAACAAACCTAGCTCTCTCTACAAAAAAAATATAGTTCAGTCAGCTAATCAGATAATAATATGTACAAATATTTCATGCACTGACAAATTTTACAGTTAGAAATGGCATTAATACTAAGCTAGAGTGAAAGCAAGTCCCAGGGCCACACCTATGAAACGAGCAGTCCATATCCTAAGAGATAGAGGGCTTTGGAGAATAGCCTCCAGGAAATAAAGGGGCTCGACAGAATACTTGATATGATAGAAAGTTTAAAAAAAAAAATGAGATTAAAATAAAGGCAAATAGTGTGAGGGAAAAAAAGGAAGGCAATTACAAACTCTAGACAAAGGAAATGGCTCTAAAAGAAAGTAAATGTAATCGTAGTATATTAGTTGGTTCTTCAGTAAATTATTTCTATCTTCATTATAATGTAAACATTATCTACTGTTAACCAACTTAGCAATATACTATTCTGACGTTAGTGGTATAAGAGATGAATTCTCACTTTTGTAGCAGTCAGTCAACAGATAATGTATAAACTATAAAATGTATAAAGGAAGAATATCATGCTAAGCCTGTTACTTATAGACACTAGGGTAATCATCAGAAGAAACAATTCATAAAAAGTAAAAGTAGTCACTTCTGGGATAAAGAGGGATGAGAGGAGTAAAGAACAAAGAGTTGTATTCATTATAAACCCTTATGCATTGTTTGTTTTTAAATAATCATCTACATTTACTACTACTTTAACAAACATTTGCATTTTTAATTACAAGAAAGATTTATGTTCAAATTTACTTTTAATCACTACTTGCCTCAAAGAGCAGGGCACAGTGTGCTTGGAGCCGGATGCGTTCCCCGTTGGCCAATGTCAACAACCTGTTGTCATCCATCACAGAATTCATGTTTTCCACCCATAGAGCATCCACATCACCATCAAATAAAATATACCTGCAGCAACCAAAGAAAGGAGAGCCATGGGTCCTAGAGAGCTTCCAATTATGGAACTTGGTATAACCTGCCCATTCATGTTGAATGTCTTTTTCCCAGGGTTTTCTACCCAGTATCTGAGACAGAGCACCCTAGTTGGCCCAGAGGTTTGACTGAAATGGTACATAAAAAACTGTAATCCCAGCACTTTGGGAGGCCAAGGTGGGCGGATCGCGAGGTCAGGAGTTCGAGACCAGTCTGGCCAACATAGTGAAACCCCGTCTCTACTAAAAATACAAAAAATTAGCCAGGCATAGTGGTGTGTGCCTGTAATCCCAGCTACTCAGGAGGCTGAGGCAGGAGAATCGCATGAACCCAGGAGGCACAGGTTGCAGTGAGCCAAGATAGCACTATTGCACTCCCACCCAGGCAACAGTGCAAGACCCCGTCTCAAAAAAAAAAAAAAAAAAAAGAAAAAAAAGTTTGAGTTCTTTGCCAATATTTAAGAATGAGGGAACTTCACACAAAAATCTGAATTTCTCACTTCTTGGGCAAGCTGGAAGTTCTGAGCACACAGACCTGGATTCCTTCGTGGGAACAATCAGCTGATGCTGAGTAGTGGCTGCCCATGAAGACAGAAAGTGTCATAGTCCCTGCCCCTGCCACAACTCCTACCTCATTCTTCTCTTACATCTGAGGCTGAGTATCAATTGCTATTTATCACTGGTTTTAACCCCTGGTTTCCTGTGGTACAGTCAAGAATAAAGAAAGTATTTTGGATGTCCATGTGTAGTGGGTCGAATGGTACCCACCCCCCACCAAAAGATGTGTTCACCCAGAAGCTGTGACTGTGACCTTGTTTGGAGAAAGGCCTTTGCAAACGCAATTAAGGATCTCAAGATGTGACCATTCTGGATTATACAGATGAGTCCTAATCTAATGACAAATGTCCTTATAAGAGAAAAGCAGGAGGAGACATAAGACACACAGAGGGGAAGGCCAAGAAAGAGGCAAAGTTTGAAATGATGTGGTCACAAGCCAAGGAACACCTGGAACCACCAGAAGCAGAAGAGGTGAGGATTTGCCCTAGAGCCTTCGGAGGGAGTGCAGTCCTGCTCACACCTCTTTTTAGACTTTTGGCCTCCAGAACTATGAGATAATAAATCTCTGTTGTTTCAAGCCACCCAGTTATTTGTTATGGCAGCCCTAGGAAACTAACACCACCATGTAATTTGCTCCACTTCACTCATTTGTGCTACCTGCTGGGTCCCTGGGAGCATCTGAGTTCACAAGCCCTGGGTTACACACCATGTGTCCTGGCAGCACGTCTACGTCCAAGGCCTCAGGTATTCAAGCTTCAGGATGGTTCCATTTTGTGGCTATAATGGGTGACATCTCATGCAGCAAAGCCCATCTCCACAGGACAGAGGCTATTCTACTGTGCTGAAATGGTGGTTTGATAGTGCCTCCATTTAACTCACTGATATAAGCAGTTAGATCTTTTTTTTCCAGGATTAACATTTTGGTTTATTTCCTTCCTGTATTTTTTTCCTTTTAGCTTTTTATTTTTAAATAATTTCAAACTTACAGAGTTATGAGAATAAAACAGTATGAAGAACTCCCATATGCCTTTCAGTCAGATTCCCCAATTGTTACGTTTTTTTGCCACATTCGCACTCTCTCTTATTCTCTCTCTCTGAATCATTTGAGAGTCAATTGCAGATAAAATGCCCCCTTCCCCTAAATACTTAAGCAAGTATTTCCTAAGAATAAGCACCTTCTCTTACACAACCACAGCAGAATTATCAAACTCAGGAAATGTAATATTGATACAATACTATTATCTAATGTATAGTCCACATTCAAATTTCACCAGTTGTCCCTATAGAAAGTCTCCATTTATATTCACTATAAAAGGACTCAACGGCCAGGCATGGTGGCTCACACCTGTAATCTCAGCACTGTAGTTGGCTGAGGCAGGAGGATTCCTTGGGCCCAGGAGTTCAAGACAAGCCTGGGCAGTACAGGGAGACTCTGTCTCTACAAAAAAAAGCAAAAATTAGCTGGGCATGGTGACATGCACCTGCAGTCCCAGCCACCTGGAAGGCTGAGGTGGGAGGATTGCTTGAGCCCAGGAGTTTGAGGCTGCAGTGAGCCGTGATCATGTGACTGAACTTAGCCTGGGCAACAGAGCACGACCCCTCTCAAAAAAAAAGAAAAGAAGAAAGAAGAACAAGAAGAGGAAGAGGAGGAGGAGAAGAAGAAGGAGAAGGAGGAGGAGGAGGAGGAGGATGACCAGATTCAAGTAACCATCAACAGATGCTCCAAACCATTGGGTGAATGGGTGAAGGTTGGATGAGAAATGGGATATTTACTTAGTCATAAGTTATCTCCCTAGAGTTGCATATCAACTGCAAAGAGGAAAATGGCACCTTAACCCAATAATCAAGATTAACACCACCCATAATAGGGCAACCAACACCATGTGCCCGTGATGAGATGCGGAGAAGGACACAGCATCACTCCTGCAGCCTTCCTGTCAAACAGCCATGGCCTGAATCTAATTATGAAGAAGCAGCGGACAAACCCAAACCGAGACCATTCTCTAAAACGGTTGGCCTGGAATCCTCCAGAACAGGAAGGTCATAAAAGATAAAGAAATCCTGACGAACTGCTCAAAATTAAAGAATGCCAAAAACAAGACAACGGAATTCAGCGTGGAATCCTGGGTTCATCCAGAATCAGGGGAAAAGCGCTAAGAAGCTGTTTTAAAAGCCATGAGTTGGGACTTTGGACTCTTGTTATTTAAGGATTTTATTTATTATTAATGGGATTTGATTAGAACATAAAATCAGAACCATTCCTGAGTTTAGCAAAGAGATATTATAGGACCAACTAAAAGCTTTTTACCTTACACACCCTCAGAGCATTTCTGTACTTGGCCTCACTTGGCCTTTGCCATGGCATGTGGTGATGTCATCAGGGCACCATCAACCACGTCTACAGATGGAAAGCCGTGGCTCAGGAGGGCATTCCTGCACTTTCCATGGCCCTTTGCTACCTTTCCTTGACTTACCTTGCCATAGAACGTGGTGATCAGGCAGCTTGATGGCGGCTGTGTTTGAGAACTTAGAGTCACACAGATCAGGGCCAAATCCCTGGCCTTGGGCCACATTTCTGACCTTTTCTAGGCCTCAGTTTCCTCTGTGGTAAGCTGGGAACAATCCCGGTACCTACCACATTGCATCACTAAGACAACTGAGGTCACACATAAAAAGCACTAAGATTGGACTGCGCACTTCCGAAGCACAGCCTCCAAGACTGGACTCTAAGTCTGTTGAAATCCAAGCATGAAGCTACAATGTATAGTCCTGCCACCGTTTTTAATGTTGAGCTAATTAACATTAACTAACCCAGGCTCTTTCCTACCTACAAAGATACTCACTTTCGCTCCTTCTTGTCTGTTGGCTTGTTGATTTCCCTGAAGATGTTTGACAACACCCCATCTGTCCAGTCTCGGGTGGTTGGGTCCAGGATGCCGTAGAGTTCTATGACACTCACGGCTTTGGGGTTCAGGATGTACAACTTTGTCGTCAGCCCAAGCCTAAATCAAGAGAGGCTTTAGCCATGGTTCAAGACAACTAAATGCATGAGGAAAACAGTCTGGGTTCCCTCTATGAGGAATTAGATGTTTTGACTTTAATCCAAAATTGAAAATGCAACCCATGCAAACTCTTCACTGGGCTTCCCTTCACTGTTAGTGCTTTCTTCTAAATATAAAGCAACCACATTTCACCAAAAATGTGGCCACAGCACAAATGAAGTCTGAACTAGAAGCACAGCTTTGCCTCTGGAGGGCACCAAGAAGCTAACTTTCATGTATATTTCATATTTATGCATATTACATATTCATATATATGACATTTAAGTAAATATCTCAGAATTAAGGGCGTATAGGAGACCACACTCAGTCATCCACGATAATAACAAGGCTTTGGACTACTAATGTTCAATCCTCCTTATCTACAGAACAACAGCTGCTCTGTTGACTTCATGAATCAAGCAGACAGGGCATTTCTCACCACAGTGCCTGTAAATCCCTGCAGCACTAACTATAGGATTAATTCATCTATAGAGAACAAAACTTCACACACTCCACAGTTCACAACCAACGAATCAGTAAATCATAATGTACATGCTATATTACACATGCATACAACTGTGTGATAGTTCTATAAACTTACAATGAATGAATTAAAGAATGAAATGCAGATGGCCACGGCACAGCCCACTTAGAGTCAGTAAGCCACTGTCGACTGGTTTTCTCATATGAAACATATGAAGAAATAATGGGAACATATGACAGACACTTACTCTTTAGATTTTATAGACTGCCTAGAAATGTTTAAGTCACAGAAACTTTGGCTTGATTTAGATTTTTGCCGGGCTATCAGCATCCACGGAGGTCTTTCTGGAATCTAGTTATTGCTTAGAAGAGAAGTGAGGAGTCAGGAATCCACTTTCAGTAGAAGGCTTTCAATTCACTGCAGGCTTTTATGACATACTCTCCTTTTTTTTTTTTTTTAGAGAGAAGGTCTCACTCTGTTGCCCAGGCTGGTGTGCAGTGGCACAATCCTAGCCCACTGCAGCCTCAAATTCTTGGGCTCAAGCAATCCTCCCTCCTTAGCCTCCTGAGTAGCTGTACTACAGGTGCACATCACCACACCCAGCTAATTTTTTTTTAATGTGGAGACGGAGTCTCATTATGTTGCCCAGGCTGTTCTCAAAATCCTGGACTATGGGATCCTCCCACCCAGGCCTCCCAAAGTGCTGGGATTACAGGCGTGAGCCACCATGCCTGGCTCCTTTACGATCTTCAATGTGGGAGTGTACGATCACTTTTTCCTTCGTGAAGAATTGCCCCCGAAGGGCTAGCGATTATAAGGCACCCGGGGAGGTGACATTCGTTTTCTGGCCACTGCGAAACCACAGCAGTACTGCATAAGGTGAATCCTGACTTACTTTAAGGAAGCAATTTGGACCCCAAGAAACTATGACTTACATTCATTTTCAAAATATCCTTATAAGATAGTTTGTGAAATTCTCATTTCACAAATGAACCTATTCACCATCTGATGCACAAGCGGGTTGCTATTTTGCATTCTAAAATATCTTAACTAAGTCTGCAATAAAGTCAGTAAAAACACGCTGAGTCGAAAGGGGTGTGTATTACAAATTTACCCTCCCAGGAAATCAGAGAGCAAAGTGGGACTTGGTAATACTGGCACCAAACATATACTGTGAGCCCCTGTGGCAGCCAGGCCCTCCCTACGGAGGTCATACTCACTTGGTCTGGGCCTGACACAGAGTGTTAATGACGACGGACTTGCCCCCTCTGGTGGGCCCCACCACCATCGTCGTGTGGCGGGTTAACATGGTCTCGAACATTTGAACCACTTTATCCACCTGCGGGACAAACAATGGCAGCTGGGCTAAAACATTATCTTTTTTCTGACGCAGTTTTATTGCGATACAACACACACGCCATACAATTTACCTTTGAAAGGGTACAAGTCAATGGTTTCCAGTATATTCACAGAGTTGTGCAACCATCCCCATGAGCAATTTTAGAACATTTTTATCACCCCTCCCCACAAAAAACCCTGTACCCATCTCTCCCAATCCCCTTTCCCCCAGCCCCTGGCAACCACTCATCTACTTCCTGTCTCTACGGATTTGCGTATTCTGGGCATTTCATGGAAATGGGATCCTAGAATGTGTGATCTCTCACATCTGGCTTCTTTCGCTTAGCATGTTTTCAAAGCTCATCCATGTTGTAGCACGCGTGCTGCATTCCTTTCTATGGCCAAAATATATCCCATGGGATGGACAGACCACATTCTGTTTCAGCAGTGGATCCATCAACTGATGGATGTTGGGTTGTTCCCACTTTTTGGCTATTATGAATAATGCTGCTCCGGACATTCATGAACAATTCTGAGCGGACGTTCGTCCTCATTCTTGGGTAGATCCCCAGCAGTGAAATTGCTGGGTCTTATGGTAACTCTCGGTTTAACCTGTTGAGGAACTGCCAGGCTGTTTTCCAAAGTGGCTGCACCATTTTATATTCCTTCCAGAAAACACATCTTTTTCAACAACCAACTCCAGAGAAAATCAGGGTCAGGAAAAGCACAGAAAGCTCTCGTCCACGGCCGGTACCCGGTGCCCACTGCCCAGGCCTGAGGTCTCCGGGGTAGCCTGACACCCTGAAGCTGCCCGACCCGAGGCAACCCCCCAGGTCTGGAGGCTCTGGGCATTTACACTCTCAGCAGGACTCTGCCAATCAATACGTGTTTGGCTTAATGACAACATATACAACTTACAGGCTTCAGAGGATCCAAATCCTATCCCTGCAATATCTAATTTAATTTTTTTTTAAGTGTGACTCAGGAGAAAAAAAAGGTGAGGTGAGGAAAGAACCTCTGATGGTTGATGCCTCAAAACAAAATATTTGAGTCACCTGATCACATTGTGTGAAAAAAAACTATATATATAAAATTTAGCCTTAAAAAGGAAGAAATTCTGACACATGCCACAACATGGATAAATGTTGAAAACACTGTTAGTGAAATAAGCCAGACACAAAAGGACAAAAATTACATGATTCTACTTACAGGAGGTACCTAGAGTAGTCAAATTTGTAGAGACAGGAAGTCGAGCAGAGGTTGCCAGCGGAGGGAGGGGAGAAGGTAAGCTGTTAACGGGTGTAGGGTTTTAGTTTTGCAATATGAAAACGTTCCAGAGATGGATAATGCTGATGGTTGCACAGTAATGTGAATGTACTTAGCACCAACAAACTCTACATTTTTTCTTTTTTCTTTTATTTTTTGAGACGGAGTCTCGCTCTCTCACCAGGCTGGAGTGCAGTGGCACGATCTTGGCTCACTGCAACCTCCACCTCGCGCGTTCCAGCAATTCTCTCGCCTCAGCCTCCCAAGAAGCTGAGACTACAGGCGAGCGCCACCACGCCCGGCTAATTTTTGTATTTTTAGTAGAGATGGGGTTTCTCCACGTTGGCCAGGATGATCTCAATCTCTTGACCTCGTGATCCACCCGCCTCAGCCTCCCGAAGTGCTGGGATTACAGGCGTAAGCCACTGTGCCCGGCCTAACAAACTCTACATTTAAAAGTAGGTAAGATGGTAAATATTGTTATGTGTATTTTACTGTGATTTAAAAATGGGGAAAAATGGTTAAGATGGTGAAACTTATGCGTATTTTACTGTACATATATTTTTAAAGAACTGCAAAAACAAAAAGCCAATGGAAAGGATGCACGGCCACAGTGAGGTCATTTTCCTGGCTTTACCTGGATGGGTAGGACCGCGTAGCCGTTCTCCTCCAGGACCTGCTCTACCGCATCGTTGAAGTCAGGGTAGCGGACGCGAGGGCAGTCCAGCCCAGGAAACAGATCCGAAATCAAACCAAGGAAAAGAGGAACATCTTCAAACACAAATTTGGGCAAGTTCATGTCTCGCAAGGCCCTCATCAGCACCACGTCCTGCAGGAAATGAAACACATGTTTCCAAGAGATTTCCAAAGGAACCCAGTGCTTTGGACTGTGTTTCCAACCCAGTGGTAACACTCTTATGAAATATAAAATATAATTTTTATATAAACATTTTATTATTTTTAACAATTTTATACACATTTAAAATTACATAATTTTAAATTACAGAAATTAATTTAAATTAATTTAAATTTAAATTACAGAAATTAATTTAAAATTATATAATTTCTGAATATATGTATTATATATTTTTATATACAGAAATTATATAATTTTATTTTTTATTTTATATTAATATGTAAATAAATATAAATTATATAAAATAGTTTACATGAGATTAAACATAAAATATAAAATATATATTTCATATATTTCATATAATATGTACTTCATATTATATAATATACACATATATGGCCGGGTGCAGTGGCTCATGCCTGTAATTCCAGCACTTTGGGAGGCTGAGGTGGGTGGATAACCTGAGGAGTTCGAGATCAGCCTGGCCGACATGGTGAAATCACATCTCTACTAAAAACACAAAAATTAGCTGGGTGTGGCGGCAGGTGCCTGTAATCCCAGCTACTCGGGAGGCTGAGGCAGGAGAATCGCTTGAACCCAGGAGGTGGAGGTTGCAGTGAACTGAGATTGCGCCATCGTACTCCTGGCGTGACAAGAGTGAAACTCTGTCTCGAAAAAAAGATAGATAGATAGATAGATATACACACACACACACATATATATACACATACATATATATTTAAATGAAATATAAAATTTAAAATGAAATATAAAATTATATATAAATTATATACATATATTACAATTTTATATAAATTAAATTTTATAAAATTTATATATTTTATATCATTCATATAAATTAATTATATTTGTATTATTTATAAATTATATAAATTTATAAATGTATATAAAATGTTATGTATATTATATAGTATAAAATATGTATAAGATATTATGTGTAATATGAATATATGAAATTTCATATTTCATATTTAATAATGATCATATAAATAATATAAATGTAAATATGCATTTTTCAAAGTTTCATATGAAAATAAAAATGTAAAATAAAATATATAAAAGTGAAATATACAATACAAAATTGTATATAAATGTAAAAATTAAATAAAATATAAAATAGGAGCACAGGCAGAGGAGTGAGGCCAGGGTGGGCCTGCTCCTAGGAGGCTGAGTGTCCTGGTGGGCCGTGCAAGGAGAAGAAAACAGATCTCGGCCAGAGGGAAGGAGCAGAAACTTCCTCCTCCCCACCTTACAGAGGGGTATGGCCATCTACGCTAAAGCAAAGGTTCCTTATTACAGGAAGAACATTTACTTTGACCTTTAGGTGCGCATATATATATATATACTTTTTATTATTATTTTTTTTTTTTTTTTGAGACAGGGTCTCGCTCTGTCACCCAGGCTGGAGTGTAATAGTGCCATCTCGGCTCATTGCAGCCTCCACCTCCCAGGTTCAAGCAATCCTCCTACTTCAGCCTCCTAAGTAGCTGGGACTATAGAAGTGTGCCACCACAGCCAGCTAAATTTTTTAGTTTTGGGTATTTGTTTGGAAAGAAATGGGGTTTTGCCATGTTGCCTAGGCTGGTCTCAAACTTCTGGCCTCAAGCAATCCTCCCACCTCAGCCTCCGAAAGTGCTAGGATTACAGGCATGAGCCACTGCGCCCAGCCTTAGGTGCTTTTATATAAATCTCAAAAACAAAATTCTGAACTCAGGACCTGGCAAGCGTCTCTATGTTGTCTCCTAGGACAGGTAGTCCTGCTTCTCTACTCAGCGTTCACTATCTGGAAATGTGGGTATGTCTTCTCTACCCATTACCTCCAGGATGTGGAGTGGAAAAGGCCACTTTTCCTTTTGTTCTGCCTCCCAGACTCAACACAGGAGCCCCGGGGATTGCAGTTCCCCGCCTTCTCCAGAAGAAGGAAGCAACTGACGGGGGCTTCTGCTATTTGCTTAATTGTAACGACATCATGTTGCAAGCTGAAGCCTGATGTTTCCTTTGAAACAGGTGCTGAGGTGGTGGTATTTGTGAATTCTTTACCTTTTATTCCAAACAAGACTAAATAAATGGCAAGTACAGCTGACTTCATGGGCTTTTTAATGTCCTCCAGTTTCCACCACTGTCATGATAAGCGCAGCTGAGAACTGCAGCAGTAAATTCCAAATATGTGGTTCTAATTTGAAGCAAAAGATGCTAAATCCTCACTCATCCTGTGACATAGATTTACTGAATAAGAACAAAGGTCCAAGCTTGCAAACTTTTAATGTGATAAAGAAGCCCAAAGACAATACAGCAAAGTTAATTTCCTATGTGAAGAAACCATCGCAGTCTCTGTACAAACACAGTTTTACATGTGTAAGTCCACATTGCTGGATGAGAAGAGGGATTTTCCTCCTAGAAAAGGAGGCTGTTTTTTACCTCTTTCTCGGAAGTCCTTGGATATTCGGTATTTGCAATGTGTTTTCATTCTTCTAAGGAAGTACCAGATTGTGCAGCAGTTGAGCCTATGAATGCATGCTTGGGTTCAGTGTAAGGCAGTAAAAGAAAACAAGCCAGTAGTGAGTGCAGTGATGGGACCATATTCACCGCCCTAGGAGGAGAGACTGCTGCAAACGGCCTCACTCTTCTTCGTAGAGCCTTAGATAGCACTTGAGACTGTTTTCCCTGTTGCTAAGACTGAAAGTGGCATCGGTGGTTTTTCAGTTCAGAAGATATGACCCACTCAATAGCATGATCGCCCTTCAACTTTGGACATAGAGGAGCAGGGGAGAAAATGAAAGAAGTTTCCATATAACTCCTTTCTCCTAAGAAAAAAGAAGTACAAATGACGAATGCAGCTCCATCTGACTTTATAGTGTTTTACATTTTACAGCTTCCTTTTTTGTAAGAGCATAAATAACTCTTCCTTCGACCCCTCCAAAAAAAAAAAAAAAAAAAACCCAAATGTGTGAAAATCCCAAAAGAATGAAGCGATTTGTGGCAGCCTCTCCTCCTATGGACACAAACAGGCTTCTATCACTGCACTCACGGCTGTTTTTTTTTTACTACCCAAATGTGTGTGTGTGTGCGTGTGCGTGTGCGTGCGTGTGCGTATGTGTACATGTGCGTGCGTACGTGTGTGCGCGTGCATGTATCCGTGTGTGTGTGCGCGTGCGTGTGTCCGTGCGTGTGCGTGTGTGTGCGTGCGTGTGTGCGTGCAACATTGAGTACAGTCACTAGAGAAACAGGTAAGCCTGTTGCCCACAGAACATTGACTAAACCTTTTATTTAAAGTCCATGTAAAAAAAACACAATTGTTCCCCTCTTTTGTTTCAAAGAGAAAATAACAACTCACCTTCATGCTTTCATGAGAATTTTGTTAGTCCCCACCCTTCCGCCACACCCATCCTGAGACTACAGATTATTACTATGGAAGCATCATAAATGTTGCTATTGGAGCGAAGACATTGCACTTGACCTTAAGGTACTAAGTGTAATTACAAGCAAACGATACAACAGGTAAGAGGCCAAAGTAAGGCCAGACCGCGGGGTGAAGAGGCAGCTAAGACTTAAACCTTTCAGGTGATACCATACTGTGCCCATCACCTCCCCAATGGCACGTAGTAAATGCCTGAAGCAGCTGAAACCAGAGAATGTTCCAGCACGTGGCCCCTACCTCCCTAAGGTCAGAGGAGCCTCTCTTCAGCTCACCAGCCATGACCAGCACCGATTTCAGGGCTCTGAGTCCAAAATCATAGTGATACTGCTTGGACAGCTGCTCCCGGGCCAGCTTATACAGAACCGTCATCTTTTTCGCCAGAGTCTTTTTGATAGAAGATAATAATACAAAAAAAAAGAAAAAAGAAAATGATTCAAAAGCAATGGAGCATCATTCTACAAATGCAAGAAAACGGGGGCAGGTGTTCCAGTGCAGCTGCTCTACAAATAAGCAAATTCCATCTCTAACTTCCAGAAATACCAGGGTGGGTCCTTCATTTTTAAATATGGCAAATTGGGAACTAATTTGAAGAAACATCTGTGTTACCAAAATCTTCACTATCTTAATTTAAAGAACAGAACCATCTGTAGGAATCACACTCCAGAAATACATTGCTTCTTTATTTTGACCTAAACCTATTATTAAGGCTGTAACTGGGCCAAGCATAGTTGTTCATGCCTGTAATCCCAGCACTTTGGGACGCCAAGGTGGGTGGATCACCTGAGGTCAAGAGTTCAAGACCAGCCTAGCCAACATGGTGAAACCCTGTCTCTACTAAAAATATAAAAATTAGCCAGGCGTGGTGGCGCATGCCTATAATCCCAGCTACTTGGGAGGCTGAGGCAGGAGAATCCGCTTGAACCTGGGAGACAGAGGTTGCAGTGAGCTGAGATCACACCACTGCACTCCAACCTGGGTGACAGAGCAAGATTCCATCTCAAAAAAAAAAAAAAGGCTGTAAATGTCTTTGAGGACAAGTCAGCCACCTCATCTATGGCAAGGGTTCAAAACCCACAGGTCTCTAAGGCAAGTGTGGCAATTTTAGTCGTGAAAACTAGGAACAAGAGATCTCATCGTGCCAACTCAAAATCCTGACACGGTAATAGGCACCAAGAGCTTTCAATAAAAGACATATTGCAGAAACGCAATGTGACAACCCTCTATGTTAAAAGTATTCTCTATTTTGTAACTTTTCCAGAGCTTCTGGAAAGATCTTACGTATGTACATTTTATAGATAGCTTAAAAGAGGATAAAAGTTATCCATAAAGTTGTTTTTGAATCTACATATTCTCAAAGGCATTGTGCTGAGTGAAAGAAGCCCGTCTCAAAGGGTTCCATACTACATGTCTCCAGGTAGAGAACATTCTCAAAGTGACAAAATTACACTGACTGAAGAATAGATCAGGGGTTGCAGGAGTTAGGGTTGAGGGGAGAATGTGTCTAGTAAGCAGTAACATGAGGCTGGGTGCAGTGGCACAACCTGTAGTCCCAGCTACTCGGGAGGCTGAGGTGGGAGGATTACTGGAGCCCAGAAGTTCGAGACCAGCCTGGGCTGTAGAGACCCTGTCTCTACAAAAAATAAGCAAGATTAGCCAGGTGTGATGGCATCTGCCTGTGGTCCCAAATACTCAGGAGGCTGAGGCAGGAAGATCACTTGAGCCCAGGAGTTTGAGGCTGCAGTGAGCTGTGATCCCACCACTGCACTCCAGCCTGGGTGACAGAGTAAGACCCTGTCTCTCTTCTTTGTGGTCGTGGTGATGGAATAGTTCTGTATCCTGATGTGGTGACGGCCACTCCCATCCACATGTGATAAAACGTCATAGAACTAACTACACGCACACGCCATAGAGAGAATGTGAAACCTGGTGAAATCCACACAACGTCTACACCTGAGTTAATGGCACTTGTGCCAACACCAACTCCCTGGTTTGGGCAATGGACTGTGGCTATGTGAGATGTTCTCATGGGGAAGGGGCACCTGGAAAGTCCGTGCTACTATTGTTGCAACCTCTTGTGCATCTTACATTATTCCAAAATTAAAAGTTATAATTTAAAAAGAGGTGGGGGAGGAAGAAGAGAGACACAGCAGAAAAAAAAAACAAAAATCAAAGAGCCACACGGAGCTGACACATCCTAGGTCCCCAGTCTGGAAGAGCCACATGGAGCTGACACATCCTAGGTCCCCAGTCTGGAAGAGCCACATGGAGCTAACACATCCTAGGTCCCCAGTCTGGAAGACCCACATGGAACTAACACATCCTAGGTCCCGTCTGGAAGAGCCACACGGAGCTAACACATCCTAGGTCCCATCTGGAAGAGCCACATGGAGCTGACACATCCTAGGTCCCGTCTGGAAGAGCCACACGGAGCTAACGCGTCCTAGGTCCCCAGTCTGGAAGCAGACCCGGGTGAAGTCTGCACTGCACGACCTGGCGCTGCCAAGGCCCCCCACCTTGGCCTCCAGGAAGCCCTCAGAGAAGAGCATGATCTCACAGATCTGCTGCAGGTCGGGCACGATCACGACCACAGGCCTGAACAGCGCCTTCACCGACTCGGGCAGCTCCGTGCGGCCTGCGTAGCCGGGGTTCATGGTGATGAAGATGCCCATGCGGGAGTCCAGGGAAATCTCCTGCCCTTCAAACTGGAGGGCAAGAAGGAAGAAAGAAAGAAGCAGTTAGGTGGCCCGGCCGGCCAGCCCCTTGGAAAGGGGGCCTGCGGCGAGCTGCGTGGCGATTCATTTTCATGGTATGAGGCTGACAACACCACTTGTCTCTTTTTCCCTCCCCGGTGTTCAATGCAGGGCCCCCCTCGCTGAAGGCCTTGGGGAGGGCAGGTCTCAGTGGAACCCCAAACTCAGACCTGAACCCAGGGCACTACCTTGGAGAAGGGGCCCAGGTTGGCGAAGCACAGAGTCTGGGGCTGATACAAGAAGCTGTGTGACCCTCAGCAGGTCACTTAACCTCTCTGAGTCTCAGTTTATTTTTCTGCACAACAGAAATGCAACCCACCTCGTGGCACGGCTGTGGCGATGAAAGGAGACAGCCCAGGTTGGGAGCGCCCAGCCCACCACCTCACACAGCGCCGGCTTCCATTCCTCTCACCTGGCTTTGCACCTTCTGCGGGTGCCTGGACTTCATGCAGTCACTCCTGCCTAAAGAATCCCACCTCAAACCCCTCAAGAAACCAGTCTTCATTCCTCTGGTTGCCCCAGGTACCAACAAACCACGGAAATCCCTATATTCTTAGCCTTTTTAGCTGAAGGTTGAGTCCGGTCGTCTCTCGGTGAAGTTTTCTATTTTATTTTTTTTGATTGTCCACCAGCCAGGCAGAGGACAGAAAATTTTTGTTGTTAGGAGGCACAGTCTGCATCACCAACGAGAGGGCAGCCCGGAAGACAGCCAGCCTCCCCCAAAACAAGGCCACTGCCTTGACTCATAGGTCGGCCCTGAGACCATCCCTAGCCTCAGTATCCCACAAGAGGCCCAGATGGCCCAGATGGCCCAGGGGGAAGAGCAGATAGCTGCTGCCTCCTGGCTCTGAGAAACACAGCTTCTGGAAATCTATATACATTGCAGGTTAATTCCCTCTCTCGGGAGCAGTCAGCTCAGCCCCAAAAATCCCTCAAAAGAACTCATCAAAGGGAAATCTATCCAGACCCTTTACTGGAATCCTGAAAATATTGAACAGTCTCCAGCTGACACAATCTCTTAACAGTGAGCCCTGCCAAGATCTGAGGAGGACGCATGTGAGATGACAGGGCCACCAGCTCAAGCTGAATTTTCATCCTGGAATGGGGCTCTAAAGGATGTATAGGAGTTTTCCAGTGAAGGGAAGAAGGGACAATTCCACTCAGATGGGGACACATGTGGTGTCACAAGGCATGGTATGACTGTGGAGCAAGTGGCTTAGTGACAAGTGTGCAGGGCATGGAGGGGGGAGGACAGAGGCAGAAGGACAGCAAGGGACCCAGAAGACCCCGGTGTAGGGAAATGGCCCACCCACGCTGGTCCTGTGTTTTCAGAGAATCCCCTTCTGGGCCACCTAGATTACATAATAAGATCATGTTTCTCCAAATTTGGATCCAGCTTAATCTGGTGTAATTTAATGCAGACTTCTCAAACTCAAGTCTGCAAACATATTCTTTGGCAGAGAGAAATTGGTGAATTCTCAACAATTGTTTTAAAATTCTGCCTTCTCACTTTGATAACCTTGCAAATCCTGCTTGTTATGATGCCGTAACTTCACAAGGTATGAAGGCAAAATTTCTTGTTCACTGTGATAATGATTGCAAGGAACATTCGCTTTCTAAGTC
The DNA here is from genome assembly GCF_000001405.40 of Homo sapiens. NCBI lineage: Eukaryota > Metazoa > Chordata > Mammalia > Primates > Hominidae > Homo > Homo sapiens. Next base: position 22,708 of record NT_187590.1, on the reverse strand, counting down.
AGGTTTTCTCAAACTTGGGAAGTCGCCAAGAATATTGTTTCCTTTCTAGGGGACCCTGCACATCACTTATTTGAGAACTCTGCCCCACGCCCATTCATAACTATTGGTTCTGTGTCTGGAGTCAGTGTGAAGTCCTTGGACTATTACAAACCTTATCATCAATGATGATAATTTTGGAAACCCAATCATCTCAATTGGAAAAACCAACAGATCTTCTACAGGAAGCCTGGTCTGGAGTGTCAACGGCCCAGAAACTGACGCTACAGAGGAAGCTTACCATACTTGGCAAACTTCCATCCTAGGGACATGGTCCCGGGGGCTTCATGTGTCTCACCTGGAACGTGGTTAACTGATGGATCAGAGCATTTCGGATCGTCTGGATCTGGGAGGAGATCACGGAGAGCACAGAAGCATCGATTCGATTAAACTCATCAAAGCAGCCCCAAGCCCCGCACTGTGCCAGGCCAGAGAAAATCTTCCCCACGGCCTAGGAAGAAAGACATGTCAGGACAAGGGCAATTTTCATCTTTAAAACTGCAAGCAACACATTTATGGATATATTTTCTAAATTAAAGCAAACAATGAGATCACTGATTGGCAGAGAAGCAGGTGACCAGCCACTTGACTAGTGGATTTTTCTGGCAGGACTTCCAAGGCCCCTCATGGGCTGGCTCCTACTTGGGATTTTACAAATCCAGATTTTTGTGTAAAACTCCATTTCTCTTCTCTTCTCTTGAAATGTGGGAAAATCTAGCAATGCTGGGTCCACTTTCCCAAATGGTGATTATGAACCAAAGCTGGACGGGCACCCTCTTTAGATGGACTTTTGCTCTCCAGTTAGCCACAGATCCCACCACTCTCTTGTCTGCTGGCCGCTTTACTCACGTACATTATCAACCTGACCCTACTAGGGTAGTGAATCCGGGACTCTTGCTCTACATCCTGCTAACAAAGCAGGGTCTTTAAGCAGACACACTTAGGTTCTGGGGCTGTGGTGGTGGAAGGTTTTCTACTAGCTTCTTCCACTGTCGCCATGTCAAAGACTAGGAGGTGAAATGCCATGTCCTGCTTTAAGCTCTCTGCCTAATGAGCCAGTACCAAAGGTGACAGCCAGGCCTTACCCTGTAATCCATGCCTTCGCCACAGTTGGTGACAACACAGAGCAAGCCCAAGGCTTTCGCCAGGTCCTTGGTGGTCTCGGTTTTGCCGGTTCCTGCTGGGCCGGCGGGGGCCCCACCTAGATACATGGACAGCGCCTGTTATAAGCCAAATGCAAAACATATGTTTTCTGGTGCACAGAAGGAAGTGGGTGTCATTTCCAAATTCATCACTGTGACTATAGGTGCAGAATAGAGAAAGAATGTGGTGTTTGCTTTCATGTGTCAACTTGACTGGGCCACAGGATGCCCAGGTAGCTGGCTAAACATTATTTCTGGGAGTGTCCATGAGTGTGTTTCAGGAAGAGATTAGCATTTGAGAAAAGCAGATGACCCTCCCCAAAGTGGGTGGGCCTCATCTAATCCATTAAAGACTGAACAGAACAGAAGGATGGAGGGAGGTTACATTGGTGCTGCCTGATCATCTAATCCATTGAAGACTGAACAGAACAGAAGGATGGAGGGAGGTTACACTGGTGCTGCCTGACTGACTGAGCCAGGGCACTGGGCTTCTACCCTTGGCACTTCGGGTTCTCAGGCCCTCAGACCCAGACACGAGTCTACACTATTGGCTCTCTCACTGTCAGAACTTCAAATGCTACTGGCCTTCCTGGTCCTCCAGCTTGCAGATGGCAGATTGTGAGAGTAATCAGACCCTATCATCACATGAGTCAATACCTCATAATAAATCTCCTCCTAAATATCCAGATAGATAGATAGATAGATAGATAGATAGATAGATAGATAGATAAAATAGATGATCGAGATGATAAATAGACAGGATGGATGGATGGATAGATAGATAGATAGATAGATAGATAGATAGATAGATAGATAGATAATAGGATGGATGGATGGATAGATACATGGATGGATGGATGGATGGATGGATGGATGGATGGATGGATGGATGGATATGTAGATGGATGGATGCACGGATGGATGGATAAGATAGATAGATTAGATAGATAGATAGATACACAGACAGACAGACAGCCATCCAGCTAGCTAGCTATGTCCTATTGGTTCTATTTCTCTGTGGAACCCTAACCAATACAGATAAGATGACACTCTTTTTCTCAAAAACAAAGGACTTTATCACTCACAGCACAGGAGGCAGCAGGGGCTTCCTGTTCTCACTCATTCCCTTTATCCTTGTCCCCCCAAATCCCATGGTGTGATGTGGAGACGGGCCCAGGTGCATGCCACATCCACAGTGGGTATGAGTCACAGCTGAGAAACTGTGAGCCTAAGAGACCACCAATGTAGCCAGGTGCAGCAGTGAATGCTATAGTCCTAGCTACTCAGGAGGCCAAGGTGGGAGGATCACTTGAGGCCAGGAGTTCAAGGCAAGCCTGGGCAACATATCAAGACCTCATCTCTAATTTAAAAAAAGAAAACTAGCAAGCATCTGACAAACAGTCTTGGGGGTTGCTTGCAAACCTTCCCAAGCTCTGCCTGGATGGAAGTGTTATCTTCATTTCCTGTACAACAAACAAGTTTACCCTCTGTCCTGGAGGGAGACACTATCTCTATCATCCAAGGCCGTTCACTTGAACGGATATATTCTGGAATAAAAGCTGTCACAAGACGTGCAAAACCACATCACACTTGCCCTAACAGTCACCACCTTTGACATTCCTGCATTTTCGCATTGGCCTCTACCAATACCCCTGACACACCATTACCTAGGGACCAGTGTACCAGTGGCTAAGCACGGCCACACTTACATGCCAATCCCAAATGGTGACAATCTGGTCACATCCCAAATGGAAAAGCTTTTCGAGATTTCAAAGCAATGATCTCCCCTGCTATTTCAATCACTGCAGTCATCACACCTCAAGCTTAGAGAAAATGCCCCGCCCCAAGGTAAGTGGTAACCACAAGTGCCAGGCTGGCAGTCACCTGGGTGAGCGTCAGGTAAATCCGATCGGTGAGGGGCGTGATGACCAGCCTGCCGTTCAGGCCCATGTACTCGTAGCCGTAGCCAAAGGTTCCCGTGCACTGGCGGATGTTCAGCTCATCCGGCTCCCGGTCCCAATAAAACCGCAACTGACTTTCCCAGTCAAACTCTCGGGCCTCCAGGATACTGGACGGCAAGAAAGGTGGAGGAAGTGGAAACCGTTGAGACAGATCAGCGGACCACAAAGGGTCCCTTTTGAAATGCCAGTGACCCCGGAAAATGCTCACCTGCCTCTTATGAAAGAATCAACTATGTCTCTGGCATGCACATCAATGATGAGAACAGTGTTGTATTTTTTCCTGTCGTTTTTGCTTAGCGGCATGGTGATGCGCGTTACCAACTCATCGATCTGCCGGTGCATTTTCCTGCCATAGTTCTTCATGGCCTGCTTCTCCCCTTTTTGCGCTTTGTGGAAGACGTCTTCCACCTCCCAGGTCCACCACACCTGGCTAGCGGCCAGCACCACCATGCCCTGGTACAGGAGCATCCAGTCGACTCTGCAGAAAACGCACACCTGTAAGAGGCTCTGATCAATCCGGGGACTGGTACCCAAAACAGTCCCTTCAGGAATTTATTTCTTTGATCTGGAATAGGGAGGGCAAAGTAAAGGTTTTAGGTAAGCAAGTGCCTGTATTTGTTTACCTAAGTAAGTCAGAGGAGTAAGACTTAGGTGAGAGTAAGATGTTACCTATCTCCGACTAGGTAGTAAAATTCCAGGCCGAGGGTGCCTCTCTCCACAAAAAATGTTGCAGGTACCTGACTGCACAGAAAGATGCCAGATCACTTTTTAAATGTTTGGGGCCAGTCGTGGTAGCTCACGCCTGTAAACCCAACACTTTGGGAGGCCAAGGAAGAGGATCACTTGAAGCCAGGAGTTCAAGACTAGCCTGGGCAACATAGCAAAACCCTATCTCTACAAAAAATAAATTAAAAACTAGCCAGGCATAATGACGCATGCCTGTAGTCCCAGCTACTCCAGGGGCGCTGGAGCCCAGGAGTTGGAGGCCGCAGCCAACTACAATTGTGCACTGTACTCCAACCTGAGTGACAGAGCAAGGCCCTGTCTCTAAAAAATAAAATAAAATAAAATATTTGATTATAGGTTTTCAAACTTACTTAGTATTTGAGGTTTATGTAAGAAGTAAAACAATATTCCAGGCTGGGCACGGTGGCTCACACCTGTAATCCCAGCATTATGGGAGGCCAAGCTGGGGCAGATTGCTTGAGCTCAGGAGTTTGAGACCAGCCTGGGCAACACAGCGAAACCTTGTCTCTACCAAAAATACAAAAATTAGCCAGATGTGGTGGTACATGCCTGTGGTCCCAGCTATTCAGGAGGCTGAGGTGGGAGGATTGCTTGAACCTAGGAACTCAAGGCTTCAGTGAGCCGAGCTCGCATCACTGTACTCCGGCCAGGGCAACAGAGCAAGACCCTGTCTCAAGAAAGAAAATTAAAATTCCAACAAAGAATTTCATAATCTCTGACCACACTGCCCAGGTTTGCAGGCCAGGTTGTAACACGCTTTTGAATTTTTGCCAGTCTGAAAAGTGAAACAAAACATCTCATCCTCCCTTAATGTACAGATCCTGCTGAGTCGTGGGGTTTCTCCTCTTTTCATGTTTATTGGCCACTTGGATGTCCTCTCCAGAGGCACTAACTTACAAAGCTTGTGATTGCCTTGAGACACATTTAGACAAAGCTTTTTTTCTAAACTGCACTTAAAAAATAATGGACTCAGAGCTGTAAATGCCTGATATGGTTTGGCTCTGTGTCCCCACCCACGTCTCGTCTCAAATTGTAATCCCCATAATCCCCAGGTGTTGAGGGAAGGACCTGGTGGGAGGTGACTGGATCATGGGGGCGGTTTCCCCATGCTGTTCTCGTGATACTGAGTGAGTTCTCATGAGATCTGACGGTTTTATAAGTGGTTGTTAGTTCCTCCTTCTCTCTCTCTCTTTCCCGCCACCTTGTGAAAAAGGTACTTGCTTTTCCTTTGTCTTCCGCCATGACTGTAAGTTTCCTGAGGCCTCCCCAGCCATGCGTGACTGTGAGTCAATTAAACCTTTTTCTTTATAAATTACCCAGTCTTGAGTATTTCTGTATAGCAGTGTGAAAACACAGTAATACAATGCCAATACTGGAAAAGTGACTGCGGATTACTATAGTCATTATCTTGATGACCTACAGTTAATGGCAAAATAAATTTAAAAGAGTAGGAGGCCGAATGCTTTGGCTCACGCCTGTAATCCCAGCGCTTTGGGAGGCCGAGGCCGGCAGATCACCTGAGGTCGGGAGTTCGAGACCAGCCTGGCCAACATGGCGAAACCCTGTCTCTACTAAAAATACAAAAGTTAGCCGGGTGTGGTGATGTGCACCTGTAATCCCAACTACTCAGAAGTCTAAGGCAGGAGAATCGCTTGAACCTGGAAGGCGGAGGTTGTAGTAAGCCGAGATAGCGCCATTGCACTCCAGCCTGGGTGACAGAGCGAGACTCTGTCTCAATAAATAAATAAATAAATAAATAAGTAGGAAAAGCAATAAAAATAACATTGACCTTTGTTGTTTTATTTTAAAATTGTGTGGTGCAGCGAAAACCTAAAGATCACTTATATCCATGATTCCTACACATCAGGAGAGAGACAACAAAGATTACGAAGGCCCAGAGGACGACACCGAAATGATGAACAAAGACGGGCCTTGTAAAGGACGCGACAAACCTAGAATCAGAAACGGAGAGGTGGCAGCTGAGGCCATAGGATCAGAGAAGATTAAATGACCAGGGCAAAGGTGCTTCCTGGGACTAGATACAGCTGGCCCTAACTTCTCAGTGATGCCACACCTATCAGCTCAAATAAAACCACATGCTCATGTCAACTATTCTCCCTGTTGGAAGCAACAAGTTCACGTGCTCAAAGGAGCATCTGGATGAGAAAAAGATCTTTTTCAGTCCATCAGGCTGCATTCCCTTACTCTCTTCCACCAACTCAGCACTACCAAACATAGCAATGCCCTAGCAAAGTGGTAGCTATCGTGAAAATAAAATCAACTGATGCTGGTGTAAACTTCACAGTATTTTGGAGCAGAAAAGATAATTTAAAACATTCAGTGATTAATACATACAGAAGGCAGAGATTTCTGTCTAGTTCAGTTTTGAAATAGCATCTAGCATAATAAATCGCCCAGAGCAGGGGTTGAAGAAATATTAGTTAAATGAATGCTAGGGCCACCTCCTGTCACAAGACTAACTGTCGAATATTCTGGAATTTTGCAAGCTGGTTGTTAAACCACTTATTTCATTTAGCTTTGAAATCAGCCATGGCAGGAATATTTGCACCATGGAAATTGGCAACTGCTTTAAATCAAAGCTTTAAAAAAATTTTTTCCAGACATCCAGTTTTACCAGTTTATCCACTGAACATATCCACATAAAGATGCAAACAAATTTTTGATATGCCTCAGTACCTCGGAAACAGCAGGATCATAATCAAATAAATATTATGCTATTCGCTAATAATTTTTAAGTAGATGTTTTCACTTTGTAAAATCAAAAAGGCAGTGTACAAAATCAAGAGAATGGTGTTCTCATAATAACAAGAAAGATTCTATGTCTGCACGAAGGCCCTGCCAAATATTCTCCAACTTTACGGGGGATCCTGTCTAATCTAATAGAATAAGTTAGCCAAAGAGGCTTTCTGTATTTCTAGTTGGACTGCACTCAGCTGCTAGGAGCAGGCAGGGCTCAGCATGATATCCTGAAGCCTCTCTAGCCACAAAAATCAAAGAATGTTGGAAATTCAGTAAATATTTTAGAAACAACGTTACATACACATAATCCCACTAAACGCCTAGTTTCTGGTGGTTCACTAAGTCAGGGGTTCACACGCTAAGGGTGCTGGGAATCCCCTGAGAGCTTGCAAAAACACAAATCCTCAGGCCCCACCCCCAGAGTTCTGATGGGCAGGTGCAGGGTAAGACCCAAGAATCAGCATTTCTAACAATCCCAGGGGCCCTGTGCTGCCACCAGGGGGCACACTTTGAGAGTACTGCATCGGGTGATCATTGAAAGACTGCTATCTTGTGCTCGCTTTGGCAGCACATATGCTAAAGACTGCCCGGGCTCAGTGGCTCACACCTGTAATCCCAGCACTTTGGGAGGCCAAGGTGGGAGGATCACTTGAGCCCAGGAGTTTGAGACCAACCTGGGCAACACAGTGAGACTCCCTCTCTACAAAAAAGTACAAAATTAGCCAGGCATGGTAGTGCACAACTGTAGTCCCAGCTACACTGAAGACTGAGGTGGGAGAATCTCTTGAACCAGGGAGGTCAAGGCTGCAGTGAGCCATTGTACCACTGTATTCCAGCCTGGGTGACAGAGCAAGATCCTGTCTCAAAAAAATAAAAATAAAGACATCTATCTGTCCACTAATGACCTATTGCAAAAAAACAAAACCTCATTTGGAATGTCAGCCAATCTACTCCAAGCCTTTAAAATTAATCCATTATGACTATGAATTGGATAGAGCAATGCATGTCCACATTCGCAGCCTTACCTGCTTCTGTCTTCACAGTATCTAAAAATAGCCTCTTTGGTAATTAGTCTATTAGTTCTTCTCATCTCATTCAAAACTGCCGTCATCCAGTCCTCCACGCGCCCTTCAGCCCGCAAGATCTTCCGAAACTCCATGACTTCTCCTTCTGCTGAAATCATCGCGGACACCAGTTTTTCTCCACTATCGCCGTCATTAAACCTCAGTGATGCTATGTTGTCGTACATCTGCAAACAGGGAGAGGCAGCCCTGTAAGACCTGCACGGAGTTCTGGAATCAAAGACCAGCCAGCGGTGCTCCATCCAGCAGAGCTGCCACGATGCAAGCAATGGCAACCGGTGAGCCGAGATCGCAGGCAAGATGGATGTCGTTCACCCACCTGTGTGGTCATCCCAAAGACACTTATTGGGGATTTTCATTTACTCTGTACTGTGCAAAGATCTGTGGAGGATTGAAAAGAGAAAGAAAAAGCAGACTCTGTCCCTAACCCTGCTGGAGTGGGGAGGTATCTGGACATAGGAGCCAGTGGAACGTGGAGGAGGCGGAAGGGTGATTAACACCCCAGGCTGGGGAACAGAGACCTGTGATGGAATCCCAGATTCCCCACTATCCAATTGCGCAACTATGGGTGAGTTGCTCCTCCTCTCTCTGCCTGGAATAAACACAATCATGGCACTTAACAAGGTGGGCTTGGGAGAATCAAATGAAACAATCTGAGTCAAATGCTGGCATGTTGTTAAACACTTGGCATTTGTTGACTATTATCATTGTTATTAATCAGAATAACATTTAGGACAATGAGTCCTTTAGGGCCCACCATATACAAGGCACTCACAAATCAGAGAGGAGAGGAAGGCAACAAACAGGCTTTAAAGAATAAAAACAGAGGTTTGCAAAAGAGGCGAACAGTAAATGAAGTATTCCTAACACTGTATTTTTCTACAACAGTAAAATATGTGTTTACAAAGTGGAAGCAGAAGGCCAGGCACAATAGCTCATGCCTGTAATCCCACCACTTTGGGAGGCTGAGGCGGGTGGATTGCTTGAGCCCAGGAGGTAGAGGCTGCAATGAGCTGTGATCACACCACTGCACTCCAACCTGGGCAACAAAGCAACGCCCTGTCTGAAAAAAAAAAAAAAAAAAAAAAAAAAAACTGGAAACAGAATACTGAAGAAGCCTCCCCTTTGAGAAAGGAAAAATATGCAGTCGAAAATATGAATCTTACTTTAAGAAGGAAGTTAGCATTGATTAAAGGGAAAGTAATAGGAGAAAGCACTCGTTCCTAAGTGCTCTGTTAATTTGGAATGGAGGAATTACCGTGCAACACTCATTCTCAGCCGGGGATGATTTTGCCACCAGGGGACATTGGCAATGTCTGGAGATGTTTCTGGTTGTCATAACTAGGGAGGGGGTGCTACTGGCATCTAGTAGGTTGTGGTCAGGGATGCTACGTAATGTCCTGTAATGCACAGGACAGCAGCCACAGCAAAGAGTCATCCAGCCCCAAATGCCAGCAGCGCCGAGGCTCAGAGCCCCTGCCCAGGCTGACGCTAGATAAAGAGCTTTGATTAGCAGGCCAAAGATCATGTCTGGCCAGCCTCTGTTCTCTATCACAAGGGACAGTGTTCTCTGTTGTTTCCCGCCATTCAGGAAATGGTTCATGGATACATATACATTTATTTAAAAAGTGTGAAATTGTGGTCTGGAAGGAATCATAACAAATTCATGACAGTGGCTGGCGCCTGTAGTCCCAGCTACTCGGGAGGCTGAGGCAGGAGAATGGCGTGAACCTGGGAGGTGGAGCTTGCAGTGAGTGGAGATCGCGCCACTGCACTCCGGCCTGGGCGACAGAGTGAGACTCTGTCTCAAAAAAAAAAAAAAAAAATAGAAAAGAAAATAGAGGAAGTATGAATGGGGATGGGGACAAAAAGTATTGCAAATTTGTACAACTTTACAAAAAAAAGAGACAAACCAAATATGACTAAATGGTAACAAGTGCCAATTCTGGGTAGTGGAGAGGGTTATTTAGCCAACATTGAAAGGTAGGCACTGTTCAAAGTACTTTATAAATAGTAACTCATTTCATTTTTACAACAGCTCCACTGAAACAGGTAACCATTGGGGTTATGTCCATTCACAGATGAGGAAACTGATGTCCAGAGAGATCAAGGAACTTGCCGAAGATCACACAGAAACTCAGAATAGAGCAAAGATTTGAACCCCAGCAATCTGGTTCTAGAGTCCATGTGCTAAACCACTATCCTCTAATGCCTCCCTATTTAATATATTAGTCTTCATATATTTCTGGTTTTTTTGTTTTTTTTTTTTTTTTAGTTTATAAAAAGAAAGGTTTTGGACTGTGGAAAAATAGCTGAATCTGGTGTGATTTCAGACTCAGTGAATATCATCAGGCTTACACTTCAAATTAAAACTCGAGGGCTGAGTGTGGTGGCTCACACCTGTAATCCCACTTTGGGAGGCCGAGGTGGGAGCATTGCTTGAGCTCAGGAGTTAGAGACCAGCCCAGGTAACACAGTGAGACCTCATCTCTCCAAAAAATATATAAAAATTAGCCAGGCATGGTGGTGTGCACCTGTGGTCCCAGCCACTCAGGCAGCTGAGGTGGCAGATCACTTGAGTCGGGGAGGTGGAGGCTGCAATGAGCCATGATTGTACCACTGCGCTCCAGCCTGGGCAACAGAGCCAGACCCTGTCTCAAAAAACAAACCAAAAAACCAACTCCAGCAGCATTTCAGTCTTAACCCTCTGGGTTGAACCTCATGGCAAAGGGAACCAGGGAGGACCGAAGGCGGTTCTAAGGCTTACACGGGGAGCCCCTGCACACCCAGAGGGCTGACCTTGATCATGTGCTCCTGGACGCAGAGTGGGTCGCTGCTCCCCAGAATGCTAAGCAACTCATCGTCAGAAATGAAGAAGAACCTTGGGAAAGCATTTCTCTTCGAATCTAAGTAGTCGTTGAGGCTTTTCTGGCATTTCTCCAGGCCCTCGCTGACGTTCTGTAGGTCACTGAGGCGGTTTGGGGCTTCACAGCACCTCTTGATCACGGGGTCTTTTAAGGTCTCACCCATGATCTGGACCAGAACAGAGGACAGCCGTCAAGCAGGGTGAGCAGGGAGAGCGGAGACACTGTTCTTGAGCCCAGAACAGGCACTCACCAGAGCCCAGGCACGGCCGAGACAAAACTGACAAGCTGCCCAGTGCCATTGGCTTTCAGGGGATCCATTTATCATTTTTAAACATGCATATCCTTAGCACCTTCTAATGTACTACATGTAACTAACTGGTTTCTGGTTTTTCTTTTCGTTATCCCGTAAGAAGGCCAGCTGCGCAGGGAAAGGATTTTTTTGTTTTGTTCACTGATGAGCCCCACCCCACCCTACAGAAGTGCTTACACACAGTAGGCGCCCATTCAACACTTGCTGAGTAAAGGAAGCTGGCAATTCCACTGTGAGCAATTTGTATATACAGAATATTCACTGCAGCATTCTTCATCATAGCAGAAAAAGAAAGAAATAGCCTCAATGTCCAGCAACAGGTCAATCATCTGCTGTGAGTGATAATTTCAATGTTTATTTATTGAAATAGGTCAAACTGTTCAATAAAAATAGCCAGTGACATTGGTAAGAATGATTCTATTTTCAAGCCTGTAATCCCAGTGCTTTGGGAGACTAAGACAGGAGGATTAGGAGGATTGTTTGAGACCAGGAGTTTGAGACCAGACTGGGCAACAGAACAAGACTCCATCTCTACTAAAAAAAAAAAAAAAAAATTTTTTTTTTTTTAAGTTAGCCGGGTGTGGTGGTGCATACCTGCAGTCCCAGCTACCTGGGAGGCCAAGGCGAGGATCATATGAGCCCAGGAGTTGGAGGCTGCAGTGAGCTATGATCACACCACTGCACTCCAGCTTGGGCAACAAGGCAAGACCTCGTCTCTAAAAAAAAAAAAGAACAATCATATTTTGTAGAATGTTATTTATTTATTTATATCTATTTGTATGTTTATGCAGGAATAAATGTTCTGGAAAGATATATGCTCAACTATTAAAATGGTTACCCTGGGCAAGGGGATTATAGGTATTTTTTTCTTCCTTTCTTTTTTTTCTTGGCTTTTTGTAATTTCTAAAGTATTCTGTAATGAATTGATATTTGTTGTATAATTCTTCTTTTTCTTTTTTCTTTTTTTTTTGAGACAGAGTCTCACTCTGTCACCCAGGCTAGAGTGGTGTCACGATCTCAGTTCACTGCAACCTTCACCTCCTGGGTTCAAGCGATCCTCCCACCTCAGCCTCCCGAGTAGCTGGGATTACAGGCATGCACCACCATGCCTGGCTAATTTTTTTTTTTTTTTTGTATTTTTAGTAGAGACGGAGTTTCACCGGCTGGGCACAGTGGCTCACATCTGTAATCCCAGCACTTTTGGAGGCCAAGGTGGGCAGATCATGAGGTCAGGAGATTGAGACCATCCTGGCTAACACGGTGAAACCCCGTCTCTACTAAAAATACAAAAAATTAGCCGGGCGTGGTGTTGGGCACCTGTAGTCCCAGCTACTCGGAGGCTGAGGCAGGAGAACAGCCGGAACCCAGGATGTGGAGCTTACAGAGAGTCAAGATTGTGCCACTGCACTCCAGCCTGGGCGACAGAGCGAGACTCTGTCTCAAAAAAAAAAAAGAGAGAGAGACAGAGTTTCATCATATTGGCCAGGCTGGTCTCGAAATCCTGACTTCAAGTGATCGCCCACCTCGGCCTCCCAAAGTCCTGGGATTACAGGCGTGAGTCACCGTCCAGCCTGATATGTGTTGTACAATTCTTTTAAGTTTAAAAAAAGAGCTTATGCAACAATTATATGAAACAGTTATAAACTCTAGTGGATAAAAGAGATCAAAACATGAACTGGCCACCTATAATTAAAGAACACAGCAGCAAAGCTAAGTAGCAAAATACCCGGGCTTTGAGAGCAGGAGAGCTGGGTTAAAATCCCAGCCACACTAACTACAGTCACTGTGATGACCAGTCCAACCCTTTTTGGAAATGACTTTAAAATACACACACCCTTTCACGGGCAATTTGCTTTCTAACAATCTATCTTAAGACATTCACTCTAACTATGGAAAAAGCATTAGGCAAGAACCTGTACATTATTTATGAAAGCAAAGAACTCTGTTCAAACAAAATGTCAAATTACTGGAGAGTAATCAACTAAACTAATGTCAGCCCACTCCCTGGAATATAGAGAGCCATGAAATTATTTTCTCAGATGACTTCCTAATATGAACTGTTTCTCATAATATTAAGAGAAAATTATGATATAAAGTTGTACACAATATGATTACAATTATGCTTTTTAAACTTATACACATAGGAAAAAGATAAAAGGAATATATTGACATGTTAAAGTGGTCCCATTAAAGTGACAGAACCATGAGAGATACATTTTTCCACTGTTCTACACTTTCAAAATATTTTAAACAAGCAAATATTGCTTTTATAATAAATGTAAAAAAGATTCAGTGTCATATGCCAGCAGCTAAAAATCAAATGGGAATTTTTACTAGACAGATTAGGGTCATAAATAATGACACGAAAAATTCAGAAGCTACTAGTGGGCCAGGCAAGGTGACCCACTCCTGTAATCCCAGTGCTTTGGGAGGCCAATGTGGGAGAGTCAGTTGAGGCTAGGAGTTTGAGACCAGCCTGGACAACATAGCAAGATCCTATCCCTATAAAAAATGTTTTAATTAGCTGAGCATGGCAGCACATGCCTGTAGTCCCAGCTGCTTGGGAGGCTGAGTTAGGAGGATCTCTTTAGCCCATAAGTTCAAGGCTACAGGGAGCCACGATCACATCACTGCACTCCAGCCTGGGCAACAGAGCAAAACCCTGTCTCTAAAAAATGAGAGAGAAGCTACTAATGGAGAAAATACAATGTGCAAATAAAAAGGTACAAATATCTCAAATCGCTGCCCTTCTTTCATTACTAAAATAGAAGCGAGTCACTTGCCCTTTTAAATACTTTATCGATGTTGTCAAACTTTTTTGCCTCTTCCGGAAGTTGTGATCTTATATCTCCACCAATAAAAATACTTTCAAGATACATCCATTTTCTCTGAACCAACATCCAAATCTGTAAATGTACAAAAGGTCAGTGTCAGCAGGGGTTATCAGATACCTCCAAAAGTGGATGGCAAAGCCCCATCCTGACATGAGACAGAACCAAATCAACTCAGGTGGGAGGACCTTCCAGGCAAGGTGACAGAGTGAGCATCTGCATGGCCAGCTCCCCTCCACTCCAAATGAATGGGAATGCTGGGGAAAGCATAACTAACGGCCACACTCAAAAGCAAAAGAAAGCTCTCCATGCAGCCCAGCACAGGTAGGAAAACTTCTAGTTATGAGAAGAGGGTGAAGCCTGTGACCCACAACAGCGAAGGACAGGCCATGCCAGACACTCAAAAAGTGAGCCAAGTACCATGTGCCCAGCAATTCCGCTCCTAGGTATTGACCCAAAAGAATTGAAAACAGGGACTCAAGTAGTTGTACATGAATGCTGACGGCAGCACTGTTCACAATAGCCAAAAGGTGGAAACAACCCAAATGTCTATCAGCCAATGGATAGAAAAACAACATGTGATCAATCCACATGATTTAATATTATTGGGCCATAAAAAGGACGGAAGCACTGACACATGCTACAACATGGAAGAACCTGGAAAACATCACGCTAAGTGACAAAAGCCAGACGTAAAGGATCATATATTGTGTCATTCCGCTTATATGAATTATCCAAAATAGGTAAATCCATTGACACAGAAAACAGACTGGAGGTTGCCAGGTGCTGGGGGAGGAGATGGTAGGGAATGACTGCTTAAGGGGTACTGGCTTGTCTTTTGGTTTGATGAAAATCTGGAATTAGAGGTGGTGGTTGCACAACACTGTGAATGTACTAAATGTCACTGAATTGTGCACTTTACAATCACTAGTTTTATGTTATTTAAATTTTACCTCAATAGAAAATTTTTTTTGACTGAACACAGTGGCTCATGCCTATAATCACAACACTTTGGGAGCCCGAGGTGGGCAGGTCACTTGAGGTCAGGAGTTCAAGACCAGCCTGGCCAACATGGTGAAACCCTATCTCTACTAAAAATACAAAAACTAGCCAGGCATAGTGGCACATGCCTGTAATCCCAGCCACTCGGGAGGCTGAGGCAGGAGAATCACTTGAATCCGGCTGGCAGAGGTTGCAATGAGCCGAGATGGCACCACTGCACTCCAGCCTGGGTGACAGAGCAAGACTCCATCTAAAAAAAAATTGTTTTTTACTCACAAATTAAAAAACAGTGCTATATCCCACATAAGAGCTTCCACTAACACAAAGTCATAGACAAAACAAACAAACAAAAAAGCAAGGAAAGGAAGCCCAGGCATGATGGAGGCCTGATCACACAGTTGGCCAGTGAACCAGGCCTGGCTTCATCCCACCCAAGGCTTGGATTGTGGCCAAAAACAAGGTGCTTGCCTGTGGTCTGGGGAGGAAAAAAAGGCAACTGCACAAAAATGGTGCAGTGAGCCTGGGTTGCTCACAGAGGTCTGGATAAGTATTGCCCAAAAGGAAGAAAGCCCCAAACCACCTACTATAAGACCTTGCTACTTCCCAGTGTGACAGGCCTCAGGTTAAAGAGGCTGCAAAAACAGATGACAAAGTGAAGCAAACACAAGAAAAAAACTACATGTGAGATGAGCTAGAAAAAAAAATCAAAATCACACAGAGGAAAATCCACCACCACAAGAGAGAGTCAACAGACATTTTTTTAAAAAGTGTAGAGAAATCGAAAAGGAATGTAAAATAAGTATGTTTCTAATTTTCAGTGTCATCAAGGAGGCAAAAGCATCCTTGCAACAAGAACAGGACAGTATCAAAGAAAAACAGAGATATATGAAAAAGAAGCAATTAGGAATCTTGGAAATGAAAATCATTCACTAAAATAAAAATTCAGATCAATTCCTTTGATCATGCACTCTTGTCCTCAAAATAAATCAAGACAAAAAAGTATGAAAGAGGATCATTTGTTTCTAAGCACAAAATATCCTCATATAAAAGTTCTAAGCACAAAATATCCTCATATAAAAGCCACTGCTATGCACTGGCTCTAATCCATCTTTTGTTCATCTTTTCTCTCACCTCAATGACTTCCCCTATTAGAGAAAGCGTTTTTTCCCATTTGTGAACAGTTTGCAGAAAAGGCCCCACAAATCTGCTTCCTGAGATGCTCTGCAGGTTGAAAGTGTTGTCATCAAGAGACTGAATAATTTCGTCAACAGAACCCAGGATGTAGCCTCGCTCCTGTGTGCCTTTGCAATACTTGACTACAGTGAATTTCATATTTTCCCACGTGTCTAGGATTTCCTTCACAGCCTGTTCAGGAATAGAAAAAGAATGATTCAGGCACACGAACTGAAAGGACCGAGCCCCAACCCAAAAACACCTTCCTTAGCTTGCTTTTGGCCAACAATGCAATCGGAGTCCTGGGTCTGTTTCCTGAAAAGTTGGGATTCTGTCATGGTAATAATTGCCACTTATCAAGCATTCGCTATGTGGCAGGTAAGCATGTCACATACACGATCTCATTCAGTCCTCAAAGCAAATACCTCAAAGTATATTGGTAGGGATTATTATCACCCACATTTTACAGAGATGGCAACTGGGGCTCAGACATGAAGCTCAGCTACTGAGCCCCAGAAACAGGGTCTAAACCCCACAGTCTGCCCCCGAAGTCTGCACAGTTATGAGATTCTGCCCCTGTGCTTACTCTACTGTCACAAAAACCAAATTACAAAATGATATGCCTCTTATGATTCCATATTCAAAACAAAAAATCTATATTGAGGCCGGGTGCGGTGGCTCATGCCTGTAATCCTAATACTTTAGGAGGTCAAGGTGAGCAGACTGCTTGAGCCCAGGAGTTCATGACCAGCCTTGGCAACATAGGGAGACCCTGTCTCAAAAAAAAAAAAATCTGTATTGATACATATGTATATGTGTATACATACGTACATGTGTACATTATATGTATATTATGCGTATCTTTGGTATATTGTGTACACTGTGTGTATATGTATACATGTGTATATACTATGTGTACCTGTGTATATTGGGTACACTGAACATTGTGTGTATATGTATATGTGTGTACATTATATGTACGTGTGCATACTAGGTACACTGTGTGCACATCGTGTGTATACGAATACATAGTGTACATTATGTGTACATGTATATATTAGGTACACTGTGTGTACATTATGTGTATATGTATACATGTATATATATTATGTGTACGTGTGTATATTAGGTACACTGTATGTACATTATGTGCATATGTACATGTGTGTATACATTATGTGTATATGTTAGGTACACTGTGTGCACACTGTATGTATATTTTGTGTGTTTGCATGCATATGTGTCTACATGCATATACGTGTGTATACATGTGTGGTGTACTATGTACAGTCATGTACTGCATAAGGATGTTTCATTCAGTGATGAATTTCATATATAATGGTGGTCCCATAGGATTATTAGACCATATTTTGGCCGTACCTTTCCTTTTTTTTTTTTTTTGAGACAGAGTCTTGCTCTGTCACCCAGGCTGGAGTGCAGTGGTGCGATCTCGGCTCACTGCAGCTCTGCCTCCTGGGTTCACACCATTCTCCTGCCTCAGCCTCCCGAGTAGCTGGGACTACAGGCACCCGCCACCACACCCGGCACCACACCCGGCTAATTTTTTTTGTATTTTTAGTAGAGACGGGGTTTCACCGTGTTAGCCAGGATGGTCTCGATCTCCTGACCTCGTGATCCACCCTCCTCGGCCTCCCAAAGTGCTGGGATTACAGGCGTGAGCCACCATGCCCGGCCTTGGCTGTACCTTTTCTATGTTTAGATACACACGTACTATTAGGTTACAATGGCTGGCCGTACTCAATGTAGTTCCTTGCTGTACAGGCTTGCAGTCTAGAGCAATAGATTCTACCCAATAGCCTAGGTGTGCAGTAGTCATCCCAGCTAGGTTTGTTTGCACAATCACGAATCAACTCAGGACACATTTCTCAGAATGTGTCCCTGCCATTAGGTGACACCTGACTATATACATATATGTGTAGGGATATGTGTATGTGTGTACCTGTGTACGTGTATGTTAGTGCATACAAATGCATGGGTGTATGTGCACATATATGAGTAGTATGTGTGTATGCATATGTATACATGTGTGCATGCATTTTTAAGTAGGCAAAGAAATACACTAAAAAGTTAATAATTATTTTCAGGTAGTGGGATTATGAATTTTTTTTCAATTTTCTACCATGAACATCCATTACATCTATTTAAAAATCAATGGCAAAATAAATAAATAAGAAACAATAAGAAAAAATTTTTTTAAACAATGGAAAATGAAACTACAATTGGGAACAACAAAAAATTTAATTAAGGAAATTCTATTTCTACAACAAATAATTCTTTATTACTGAAGTACAGCAGGTACTAGAGCAAATATGTTTTCTCTTTTTTGTTTGTTTTTCTTCTTTGAGACAAGGTCTCACCCTGTCACCCAGGCTGGAGTGCCATGGTGCGATCACAGTTCACTGCAGCCTCCACCTTCCAGGTTCAAGTGATCCTCCCACCTCAGCCTCCCAAGAAGCTGGGAGTAATGGCATACCACCACGCTCAGCTAATTTTTTTTTTTTTTTAGTATAGATGAGTTCTCCCTATTTTCTCTTTGAATTAAAAAAAGACTGTTTTCTCCAGCCTGTTTTTAACTGAAGTCTTACCTTCTCAATGGCAACCTCCTTGATTGCTGCTGTGACAATCTCATTGAGAACATCTGTGTGTTTGTGCAGTTCCATAGCAAACATATTTTCCAAGGTGAACGTTTCGGTCATTTCAAAAAAGACAGACGTTTTTTCCATAAGTTCTTTCCAATGCCTGAAAGCACATCAGCATTCAAATCTTTATGCTTACTGAATTTAGTGAGGAGTTCAATTACTCCCATTTAAATCACAGGACAAATCTCATTTTGTAAACTTCTTATAATGAAATTCTGCAACATGAGGACATCATTAGAAATATATTCCCAAAGTTCTCCAAAATCCCACTGGCCTCCAGAGTTAAACCGGAAAACAACATCTTGCAAAATACTGTATACACTATACACTAGTCTTCACGGCCTTCTCATAAAATACACAACTTTTAATTATTGGGAACGGCTTCTGTCATAGTCTCTCAACCAATGACCTCAACCTCTGTTGAATCACTCAGCCTTTTTGAGAGCCTCATGTAAATTATGAGCTCTCGTGCATTTGATAAATATTTCAGTGCTGACTCCGTGCCAGGCAGTGGACTGGGGTACAGAGTTATCAAGGGCAAGGCTCCTAGCTTCAGAGAACCTGCCACTTACTTGGGGAGACAAACAACAAACAATCAACAAATCTATAAATTAAATAATGACATAGGGTTTTGAGTACTATGAGAAAACTGCAGTGTGCCAGAGGAGGTATGAAGGGGCCCATTCAGACGGGACAGTCGGGGCAGACTCCTGTGCACACAGACACAACGGGGGCAGCTCTGCTCTTCACCTGACTGGCCTTCCTTTAAGGTTTTGCATTTGGCCTGTGAATTTGCCCATGTTTTAGTTCTGTGTATATGGAATGGGTGTGAGTAAGGCAGCTAAGCATGACGCTAGACAGCAGAACGCCACGTACCCAGCACGTGAGCAGCAAGTGTTGAATCACTGAGTGTTGTAAACACACACACACACACACGGCCATGGAAATGGTCAGAAAGGAGGCCCTACTGGTTCATCGGTCTCTGAACCCCCTGGCCTAGCACAGCACGGACAGGAAGGAGGGTGTCAGAACTGAAACTGAAGGGTAAGGGTCATCAGTGCCTGCTCTGTGGCTTATGGTCACTTGCTTTTTATTTTTTTCCCCCTTTTCCCATGAAGCTGAAGGTCTCACCACTGAACGCTGAAACTTAACCTTCACTGGCTACTATGGATAACATTCACAGGCCACGATGGCGATGGTGACTTTGGTTGTTTTTCAGGAAGTTGAACCAACTCCTCTGTCCAGTTCCAACTGGTTGAGACCACTGACCTTTCAACTGGGCCTGTGCAAGTGCCCCAGAGGTGGCCTTTTTGACGTTGGAAGGCCAAACACTCTACCCTCAGGCCATGCCGATGCCCCCACTTTCTGTGCCTATGTCCTGTGAAATGCTGTGAACCCCAGCTACACTTGCTCAGAATGAACCTGTTACTTCCTTTTTCCCACCACCAACCACCTTCCCCCTCAACTTCGACCACCCCACTCCCCTAATGCCTAAACATCCCTAAGCCTTATCTTCAGGAAGGCAGATGTGAGGGCTGCTCACCTGCCTCCTTGCTTGGCGGCCTTGCAAATAAATCTGTTTCGCAAAACCCATGTCACGGCGATTGATGGACTGCATGTGGGCAGAGCGGACCTGGGGCCAGCCTGTGACATAACCCTGGTGGTGGATTAGAGGGTCCACACTCAACATAACTCAGCCCTGAGTCACTGGGAGAGAGTGATTCCCTCTCCAGTTCCCGCCCAGTCCTTTCAATTACAGTAAATTACATCGAAGGGAAAGTCTCCTCTTTGTGCTTCTGTGTGACAGAGCAGGAGCAACCTCATCTTGGACAAACACCACCACTTTAAGGTCCAGCTCCCTTTCCAGCCCATGCATTTTAAGGAAATCACTTATCTTCTAACTACAAGCCACCAGAAAGAGCAGACAGGAAAACATAGACAAGACAGCTCAGGCACAGAGGGAGGAGAGGAGGAAGTCTCTTGGGTAACTGCCAAACTTCACCCTTATACAATGGGTCCCAGTAAAACAGTGGACCTTAATAAGAACATTCCTTTCCCTTCAGGTGCACTAAGATAGGGGAGCTAAAAGCAGACTCGGCGAGTATGCCTGCTGCTGCAGAAAAATGAATGGGAATAGACACACAACTCTCCCTCCCAGATAAGCACAACAGAGAGACACAGAAGCAGTCCAAGCCTCAGATAAGCTCTCCCACCCTAAATCCTTAAAAACTCTTAGTCTCTAAGAGAGTGTGGCTCTGACCTAACTTGGCCAGAATCCCCTCTCAGGTTTGTTTTCTCTAAAATAAACCTGTTTTGACTGGCAAGCCACCTTTTGTGTTTCTTTCCTCTTTCTTTAATTCTTACGCTGTGTCCTCAGTCCCTCCCCAGGGTCATTCACCTTTCTTAGAGCGAAGGTCTCTGGCTCAGAGACAGGCGACTGTTTTGAGCTAGTTTTTTTTTTTTTAATAATTACTTTCTATTTCTGGCAAGAGCTTTTGGTTTTCTCTTTACAGTGGTGGTGGAAGTTTATTTTTAGAATAACATTCATTTCCATAAAAAAGAAACTGATAGGAAGAAAAATATAAAGCCATGACAGCATAGATGATACTCAGATCTGACAAAAATGATGAGACAGGACCAAAGTTTGAGAAACACTGGGTTATGGGATTATAAAACCGAGAACTTTAGCTAGAAAATGCCTACTTCTACCTAGTTTTACAGATGAGGAAACTGAAGCCTGCAAAGGTAAAGGTGAGTGCTCCAGGGAAGCCAGCAGACAGTGAAAAGAGGGCTAAGACTCCACGTCACCAGGGCCTGAGGGCTGCCTGCTCCTTGTTGAGAGGGAGAGACAGATGTAACAGGTGTTGAAAACAAGCCAGCACTTACGAGAGACTTTCTCAGTGTGAACTCAAGGATAGGAAGGGAACCAAAGAAGGGATGACTTTCTCACTAGGGAAAATGAAGTCACTTGATGTCATGGCATGACTAGATGACCACACTTTGGAAAACATGACCGAGGAATAGAGGAACACGAGCAGAAGCATAACTCACAAATGAGGACTGTAACTCCTAATTCGTGTCTGTGTGGTGCCATCACCAAATAAACACAGACCCATGCCCCCTCTGTCCCACCCACAGGGCTGGCTATCCCATCAGTATGGTGGCCACAAGCCACGCGTGTCTATGGAGCACTTGAAACGGGGCAAGCCCAGGTTGAAATAGGCTATAGATATAAAATACACATTGCACTTTGACATATTTTTTAAGAAGAATGTAAAATATCTCATGAATAAATGTTTCATGTTGATTACATGTTGAAATAATGTTTGGGATATATTGAGTTAATTAAAATATACTATTAAAATTAATTTCACCTGTTTTTACTCTTTTACTGTAGCAGCTAAAAAACTGTAAATTACATATGTGAGTTCCGTTTGATGTCTGCTGGATGGGGCTGATCAAGGTCACTTACTATAGTTTTTTAAATCTTCGAGAAAAGCAACTGCAAACGCCCACTTTGCACCTGCTGGGATCTTTCTTTTTTAAAAGAATCCTGTGGTTGACAGTTTTACAGACACTTTACATAGAAACAACATTATAGAACTGTGTCGTGCCCATGTATAGCCCTGCGGCATTGTTGAAATTGTGTGCTTCATCATCAGACCAAAGATAATGTACTGAGGGAAACAATTTTAACTAAAAGCTCCTCCCACACTTTTACATCTGCGGACAGAGGACAAAACAAACCTGTCTCTTAGTGCCTCGTTTTTCAAGTCAAGAAGTAAAGGAATCGAGTCTTTGAATGCCTTCATTTTTGCTTCCAAGTAGTAGGTCACTGATAAGCCACGGACTGGCCGAGGTAGCTTTCTGAGAGCCCTGAGAAAACCTTCAATTCCTTCCTGGAGAATCTGCACATTCAGGTTGATCCAAAGGGTCTGAGACCATTCTTCTTTTGCAACCTGGAAACGTGCAAGGAACAGCTCCATCAACAAAGACCCCTTTGGAAATGCAACAAGGAGAGCAAGTTCTTGACTCTTAGTCACGTTCAGATATTTTAAAGTATTACCCATCTATCTACAACTACCTGAAATTCACAAACAAGAGGTTGACTACAAGGATCTAAAACAACAAGAAAAG
>NW_003315941.1:0-138655 GCF_000001405.40 Homo sapiens | reverse complement strand
GCGAGCTGAGATCACGCCATCATACTCCAGCCTGGGCGACGACAGAGCAAGACTCCGTCTCAAAAAAAAAAAAAAAAAAGAAGTTATGGAACTAGTTCTTGAGAGTTTTCTTTGACAATGTTGTATATGGTCTGTCACTCACTGAGTATCTGATATCCATCTACCATGTACTGACTTCTCTGTCAAAATTTCCAAATCAACAGTCTACCCTGCCCTCTTATCTTTATCACAGAGGCTGTTTGGCTTAGAACAATTGTTGATGGTCGTGTCTGAACTATAATATCCCTCCACTCTATCTCTGGTAAAATTCCTACAGCACCCATCCATCCACTAGTGTGGACATGGTCTCAGTTGGGGTCAATCACAGTGTCTGAGTCCCCTGGTCTTAGTAAGTGGTTGAGGGATAAACATGTGACCTGACCAGCATGAAGCAGGGCTTTTTTTTCTTTCTTTCTTTTTTGCTGAAGGGGAAGGAGAAATGTTTCTCTTCCTCCTCAGCTGTCTAAAGGAGGAAGAACAACTGCTCTGCCTGGGAAGGCAGTGTTGGAGGGAGCACAGCTACCATGCCTCCATACTACAGGAGAAATAACCACTCTACCTGGTCAGAGCTTCATGCTCATTGGGCCATGGAGTCAGATTACCACTCTTAAAAAGAAGTAATAGACTCTTGCCCCGGATCCTGTTTTCTGTCTTCCAGATATCTAAGAAACACAATGGTCTCTTTTTCTTCTTTGCTGCCATGCAAAGTTAGGGTACATAAGATCTAATTTCGAGAGATAAGCCTGACCAAAATGTCTCTCTCTTTCTCTCATTTCTGTTAGCGAAGAAGCGCATGAAGCAGGCCTTCAATCCTCTGTGAAGCTGGGTAGATAGGCAGACAGTTAATTATGTAGAAGCATAGGTAGTTCTGAGACTAAATTTGAGGAAGGAGTAAACCTATTCTACAGTCAGTCCATTGTTTTGCAGTGGTTGACTTTATGCACTGATCCCAGTTGTTCTAACAGTTGTTACCAGTTATTCTCTTTCAGATAGAACCCAGAAGTTAGGAGGTGTGAGTAATTGGCTTAAAGCACCAGAGGATTTGCTAACTAGAACTGGAAGAGAAAGAACTACTTTCTTTTCAAACAATGAAACTGGAGGAATGTGAGTCTGGAGTTCTACCACACACAGAGAAAACCCATCTGCATCAGTGAAAAAATAAAGCCAACCCACACATAAAGGCAGAGAGTCTCGAAGGTGATGACCTCCAAGGCCTCCATCATCCCTAAGGACAGCTCTGCACCTATACGACCTGCAATTGCGTTACAAGTACCAATAAACCACCTTTGTTTGCTCATGCTAACTGGAATTGGGCTTTGACATCAGCAACTGAAAAAAAAAATCCTGATTGATACAATTCCTGACTGCTTCTTAAGACTACTGACTCCTTCCTCTATATCTTTTCAGCTGCCTATTCCATTGGCCCAGTGCACCAGGGATCTAATAAGAATATCATTTAGAGCCAAACTACACTGGGAAGGACATGTACTCACCTCCGCCAAACACATGCTTACTGGCATTTCCTAACTAGTAATAAAATAGAATAAGTAGATGTACATACTTAGAAGAATAAAGTGGAAATGCACAGGGAAATCTACTCATCCAGTTCACAGCTGTGGCCCATATCCCTAGCACTAAGCAATATTTGGCTCCATTGTTCCCTTTATTGCATTTGCTTCTTGAAAAAAAATCTTTATGGTTCATGTCAGCTCTTAGAAGTAAAGCCAAAGACCATGTTTATACTAAAGCATCTTTTTCTAAGGATTCAAGTGCAGGGGGAGAAATCTTAATATAAGTAAGGAAAGAATTATATGGATCTTTATTTACCAGAGATAATTATTTTATAACACACTCAGAATGCTCTTACCTTCCTTATGCCGCAGATCCTGGTGTAAAATTACAAAACCATTATATTTGGTAAAGAAAATAAGAAATTTTAAGGGTTGTTAACCCATCGTGTTTTTATCACGAGGAAAACCTGTGTAAAGTTATATAGCATGGGTCCTTCTGTAGTTATGATGCACTGAGAAAGTATGTAGTAAGTGGAGGTCCAACCTGGTACTAGCAAAACACAAAGCAGGACAGAGATACTCCAGGACATAGTGATATTATTTTAAAATGGATGTTTAGATGTGGGAGAGGCAATAAATAAAATGGGTTTCTGTAGCTCTATTTCTTTATTTTTATATTAGCTAAAGAGTCTGCTTATATACATAAAGTATATAAAGAAGGTAACAGCTACAATGCTTTGATGCTTTGGCAAAAACTACCCAGAGTGTAAAAGGACCCTGTAAATAAAAGCCTTACCTATGGGTTGCAGGTGCTTACTTTTCCTCAGGACAGTATGAGAAAATAAATAAGTAATGTGCATATAGCATATAATGACATTCTGATGAATGTATTTCCCTCAAGGCTCTTTTAAGCACCTGTTGCCGTACAGTGTATGTTTCTTTGTTCTGGGTGCACTAAATGAGTAAATCATTTAAGGGGTCTGAATCGAAAATTTCCAATATTTTATAACAATATTTTATATGCTGTATAGATGCCAAGTCATATTATTGAAGGAACAAAGATGTTTATTTTGTAAGAAGGAAGGAGCACCTAGGCTATCGGAGATAGCAGTAATCTGACATGTAATAAGGCTGTGTCCTCTTTGCCCTGTTCTCCGCTCATGGTTCTCCCTCTGTGATTATATTGGCATGTGTGTTTTCAGACACAGCAGAAGACGGGAATGAACCGCTGGAATTTCAGGTCCACCATGTACAAAATGGGGCCAGTCAGTGTCACAACCTTCAAATTGTGTGGTGAAAAATTATGCATATTTTTGAGTCACTTGATTTTAAAAACGATAAAGATAAAATGATTGGGTTTTAAAATATTCTTTGTAATTCCAACTTTTTGTGAAATATATTCTTATCTGTAGAAACAAGATATTGAGGTAAGGGGTCATTTAAAGTCATTTAAAAGATGTACTGCTCAGAAACATTCTAAGACCAATAGGGCTCGCTTTAGTAAAAAGAGAAAAATAAATCCTAAAAATATTAACAGATTTTAACTTGGGTTCTAAGTTAAGACAACATAATATTAAACATCTCATAATATTCATCAGATTTTTATTAGAATTAAGGCCTCAGACAGGCAGAATCTCTACACAATATGTGAGCAGGTTGTGGGTACATCAGTACTCACAGGTTAAGTTTGTTTTGTCTTTTTTTGTCTTTCTTACCACCAGCAGAAGAGATAAAATTGCAGTGAATTTGTATCCTAATCCAACCTAATTCCCTTTCTTTACCAGTAAACTGTATTAATTGGTTTTCTGAAACCGAAATATTAGGACTACCAAGTGGAAAATAATTTGTTGTAAGCCTTCTAAACACTGTGATTGTCTCTAGTGATTTTTCTTGCAGGAGGAAGAGCATCCACGAAACTGTCTGCACCCTGAATACAGCCTGTAAAATTACCCTGTCCTGGCCAACGTAAGAGGGGCAATCAGCAAGTGGTCATGATTATCAACAAGAAATAAACAATGAATAGATTAGAGCCTACAATACTAAGCAGTCTTACTGCAAATACACTGCACTTTGCCACTCTAAGATGGCACACATTAAACTTTCCATTGTGGATGAATTTACATCTACAGCTTTAAAGGAAGAGTCTGGAGAAGCATAGCAGCTTCTGGGGCCTCTCCTCTTGGGCAACGCTTTCCATACACTTACATGTTAGGCATTCAAAAGAGAAGAAAGGAAGTGACAGGGTGTGAATAATCCTGGCGGAGATTTTCCTGTGGCCCCCAAATTTTGTAAATATAACAAAATTGTTTGAAAACAGTAGCAGCAATCACCAGCCCCAATCAAAATCATTTCTGGCGGCAAATCATTTCAAAATATATCTGTTATTGATGAACAGTGCTCATTTTACAAATTGTTTTTCAAATTTTTAATTAAAATAACATACAAATTTCTGTGCAGTAGGATAAAGAATAGTAGGTTTCATTTGATCAATGCCTATTATACATCAGGCACTGCACCAGAAACTTTGTAGGAGCTATCTTAATCCTTGTAAGAATTCTATAAGCAACTGCTATTTTGCCCATTTTATAAACAATGAAACTGATAACCCTACCATGTTAAATAGATTCCCCAATATCAAGCATCCAGTAAGCTATGAATATTTAAGCTTAGGATGCTTGAATTTCAAATCTTGGGATATTAAATTTCAATATTACTTATATCTCAGAGATTAACAAGATAACACACACTTTTTTTGTTTTTGTTTTTGTTTTTTTGAGATGGAGTTTCACTCTTGTTATCCAGGTTGGAGTGCAATGGTGCAATCTTGGCTCACTGCAACCTCTGCCTCCCAGGTTCAAGTGATTCTCCTGCCTCAGCCCCCCAAGTAGCTGGGATTACAGGTGTGTGCCACCACATCTGGCTAATTGTGGTATTATTAGTAAAGACAAGGTTTCACCGTGTTGGCCAGGCTGATCTCAAACTCCTGACCTCAGGTGATCCATCTGCCTCGGCCCCTCCAAGTGCTGGGATTACAGGCGTGAGCCACCACACCCAGCAGATAACATGCTATTTTCAATGAAATATTTTTTCAAAGAACCTGTTAAAGATACTGTTGAGTCTGCCTACAAATGTGAAGAAAATATCTCTTCTTTTGCATCTTGAGGTTCCAATGTCCGTGCCCACACTTAGCTAGTACTTCTCAGTGCACTTACCTCCCTGAAGGTGAAACCAGATGGCTCAAGAGCTGTAGTTCAGGCCAGTTACCTTCACTATTCTATCATACAGATTTCTCCAGAGAACATTCCTTCTCCCACCCTGGAAAAAATAAGGAAGTTAAAACATAGCCTAAGTATTACAAGACAAATTTATAAAGTTTTATATGGTGCAAGATTTTTCAAACATTTATGAGTGTATTTCTTCTCATAATTTTTCCCTGTAAACATTATGGCCTAAGAATAGTTTCAAGAAACTTTTGAGAATCACAACTATATATTTTATTTATTATCACAATACAGTGAGAATATGGCAATAATGGTTAACGAATTGAGCAACATCAGAGGCAGATACCATTTTACTCAGTTTGGAAATGAGTGTTTGAATGTTCACAGGTAGGTCTAGAGCTTGATATTCAGCTCCCAGACTGCATACATAGTAATGACATCTTGTTCCTAGGTTACATAGCAGTGACTAATTTCAGTGCAGCTGAGTCATTTCCTTTAGGATTGGAACAGATTACTTTCTCTTTGGTTAAGCACAGGTATATTAATGTGTTTGAACTTGGGAAGAAGGTTTTATTAGATATAAAGGTGATAAAAGAGAGAGAGAGTCAGAGAAAGAAAGAGAGATGCTTACAGTGTGAGAGGATGAGGAAACATGACTGATAAAGGAGCACAGATTTGTGTTTCAAACCCAGAGTTCATTCTGAATGGGATACATGCTCACTGAAATGGTAAATACATTATTTGTTAACACTTGAAATTATCAGTTTTCTCTTCTTTTTTTTTTCCTTTTTTTTGAGAAATTGAATTTGATTAAATCAAATGCACTTATAATGGGGTTCCATCATGTTGATACAAGAATTGTTAGGGTACATGGAGAGAAAAATATTTCTTGGATTATTCTCCCTGGTTACTAAAGACAAGAGTCAATGTCAGAGGAAATCCACTGTGACCAGGACCCCGCTGGATTAGTTTCTTAGGGATGCTGCAGCAGAGTACCACGAAAAGGAGCCTTGAAACAACAGACATTTATTCTCTCACAGCTCTGGAGCCTAAAAGTCCAAAATCAAGTTGCCAGCAGGGCCTTGCTCCCCTCTGAAGGCTTAGGGGAGATGATTCCTTGCCTCTCCCAGCTTCTAATGGTCCAGTCTTTCCTTGCCTTTGGCAGTCTACCTCCAGCCTTTGTCTCCTTCTTCCTGTGGCCTTCGTCCCTGTGCATATGTGTCTGTGCTCTCTCCCCTAAGGACACCGTGAGCCACTGGATTTAAGGCCCACCGTAAATCCAGGATTATTTCATCTGGAAATCCTTAACTAATTACATCTGTAAATACCTCACTTCCAAATAAAGTCACATTCTGAGGTTCTGAGTGAACATAAATTTTGGGGGACACTATTCAACCCCCTGCACACCCTCAGACATAAGGAAGAGATGCAGGCCCTTACTCTGTCTCCCACTCTTCAAACAGCTTCACAGATCACAAACACAAAAATATGTCCACACATGCCAGGGGCACAAACAAAAATGTGTATGTATTAAAGAACGCATGAGCACCTCTGTATCTCAGGGTCTGGCACGCAGCACCATCACAGCACAACCTGTGAGCCTAAACATCTCTTCTGTGACTCAAACAAATTAAGCCCCAAGGAAATGTTTTTCCTAATCTACTGCTCTATGTTCCTAGGACAGAAGGCATCTATCTACAAATGCCATGATTATGTGGGTTGGCAGAGAGTGGTTCTGAATGCAAAAAGAGTGTAAGTGGCAAAAACAGTTAAGAAAGAGAAGACAGAGTTTCCCTCAGGGGTAAGACCTGGGCGTGCAGCAAATTCAGGTTCTCTGGCACTGTAGTGGTAGTCGCCGGCCCAAGTTAGAGGCCAGCTGAGAAGTCTTCGTGCCTCAGATTTGCTGACCTACAGAATGCTTCAGTATCCTTATTTTTGTAGAATGTATAAAGAATGTCTTTCATGTTGGTTGGAATCTGGCATACCTAATTTAGGTATCTGGCCAAAAAGAATACATACTACAGCAGAAAAATATGAAGAATATGAAGCCCAGTAGCAAACAGACCAAACTCAAGCCCAGGAGTTATGCAGATCTC
Source organism: Homo sapiens (assembly GCF_000001405.40). Classification (NCBI taxonomy): domain Eukaryota; kingdom Metazoa; phylum Chordata; class Mammalia; order Primates; family Hominidae; genus Homo; species Homo sapiens. The sequence goes on along the minus strand of NW_003315941.1, from coordinate 131,788 downwards.
AAGATAGAGATTTTGAAACTATGGCTAAATTACATACTCCAGTAACGGTGGATGTTGTTCATTGTTTGTCACCACAAAAAGGACAGATTTTTTCTAGATATGACATTTGGTTCGGGAGGGCACACAAAAGCCATTCTACAGAAGGAGTCAGATATTGTTCTGTATGCCTTGGACACAAACCCGACAGCTTATGCATTAGCTGAACATCTTTCAGAGTTGTATCCTAAACAAATCCGAGCTATGCTGGGCCAGTTCAGCCAGGCAGAAGCCTTGTTAATGAAAGCTGGAGTGCAGCCAGGGACTTTTGATGGAGTTCTTATGGATCTTGGGTGTTCCTCCATGCAACTTGATACTCCTGAAAGATTTTTCCCTTTGGAAAGATGGCCCCTTGGACATGAGGATGGATGGTAGCAGGTACCCTGACATGCCCACTGCTGCTGATGTTGTGAATGCTTTAGATCAACAGGCACTTGCTTCTATCCTCAGAACATACGGGGAGGAGAAGCATGCCAAGAAAATCGCTTCAGCAATTGTTCAGGCACGCAGCATCTGCCTCAGCAGCTTGCCAACATCGTCGCAGGTGCATTTCCTCTCTCTGCTATTTATGCACGAAAAGACTTGCTATAGCGACCTACCCATATTGCCACCAAGACTTTCCAGGCTCTTCGCATATTTGTGAACAATGAGCTCAATGAACTCTACACAGGACTGAAGACAGCTCAGAAGTTTCTGAGACCTGGTGGTCGCCTTGTTACCCTCTCCTTCCATTCACTACAGGATTGCATCGTCAAAAGAACTCGCTTGAAATAGCATGACAGAAAGGTTTAACCTAAGTGTTAGACAGTAAGTGATGAAAACATTGCAATTGAGTTCAGACCACGAAAACACAGAAGGCGGCTCTATGAGAAGAGCTCTTTTAATGTGGGAATTGATATACAAGAAGGTACTTAGTCCATAAGATCAGGATGTACAAGATAACCCCAGAGGGCGCTCAGCCAAGCTTAGAGCCACTATCAAATTATAAGTTACCATCATCTTATTCTTCAAATTTTTTCTGCAGTTTCTCTAGTCTTTACTCATGGTATGTTCCTGAATGTCTTGATATAGGTTTAAGTATGGGACAGTCTAAAAATTGATAACATTTAGCATTTTTTTTCCTCAAAAAGAAACTGTGGAAAATATTAGCATGACAGAGAAAGTTCCACTCAGGGAGTAGCATCTCAAGACCGGAAAAATGTATTAATTTTGCATCACATTGGACTCTTGAAATGCAATCCTTCCTCTGGCCAGGAAATTTTTTTTAATAATACTATGTTGTGTTTATCTAAATACGTAAACTCAAGCTGTCAAAGAGAAAGATATTATAATCATATCTGCATGTCCTACATTTTGAATTTAGATGTTCTAATTTGCGCTGGGTGTGGTGGCTCACGTCTGTATTCCCAGCACTTTGGGAGGACGAGGCAGGTGGATCATGAGGTCAGGAGATCAAGACCATCCTGGCTAACACGGTGAAACCCTGTCTCTACTAAAAAATACAAAAAGTTAGCCGGGCGTGGTGGTGGGCGCCTGTAGTCCCAGCTACTCGGGAGGCTGAGGCAGAATGGCATGAACCTGGGAGGTGGAGGTTGCAGTGAGCCGAGATCACGCCACTGCACTCTAGCCTGGGCGACAGAGCAAGACTCTGTCTCAAAAAAAAAAAAAAGATGTTCTAATTTGCAACAGTCTTTCTCTGGCTCAAGTAATGATGATTATGGAATGAATTTTAATGTCCCTACTTGTGAATAATTACTATAGCTTTCTCAAATGTAGGCTTTTTACAAATTTTATATTTTAAAATATTTGTTTAAATATGTGTTATACTGATAAAATTTCATTTTTCAAATTATTGTCTATTACTTTTAACGGATTTTTCAGTATGATATGGCCATTTTGTTCATGTATCTCAAAGTAAAAATGTAAAATCCTTACAGAGAATTGTTTCACAAAACTCATATTTCATGTCAATTGTATCTAATAATAGATCACAATGCCTTTAGTAAGTAATAAAGTCTCTTATTAGAATCTTGTATTTTTAATTGAGCTAATCAAAATAATTCAGCCAAATCTATTTGAAATAGAAAGCTATCTATTTAATATAGTAAAATCAACACTCCCTTAATGTTGTTACAAAGATATGGTAACTGTAATAAGGGTAAAAGTTTATTCAGGAAAAGAGTGCTTGGTAGAAGATTCTTTAACAAATTGATGAGATTGATTCATAATTCACATGTTAACTTTTTATGTGTAATATGTACTTCTAATTTATTCAGTTATTCAGTGAGCACTGAACTTGTCATTAGAAAAGCAAAGGTAAGTACAATATACATGGCCCACAATACATGTCCTGTAGAGGTTAGTAGAGGAAAATTATGTTAGTTATAATCACAAAAATCAATACAAAATGGACACAGTGGTAAATACTACAAATAGGTCATGCATGGTACTGTAAGAGCATCTAGTAAGGATTTTATCTGTTGTCAGAAACCAGGTATGAGAACATCATACTTGAATTGTGACCCGAAGGATGAGTTGGAGATAATTAGTCAAATGGCACATGGGGTATGGAAGGAGGCATGTTGATGAATGATACATATAAATAAATACTCTCTTAAATAGTTAACCTTGAAATCATATTTATATGCTATTAATGTGGTTAGTAAACTTTTTTCAAATACAGAAAAAAGATTCTCCATTATGGTTACAAATTTTAAGTTGGTGAATCCAAGTGAATGAAATATCAGCATAACTGTATGGGCAAAATAGATAAGAATTAAATACATGAATTTACCTCAGACTTATTTTATCTACCTCTGTAATATTTAACTTTAGTACCCAGGCTTGTTTACTACTTCTGCTTTACAGGCTTTATTTAAATCTGAACAATCCTACAGGGAAATGAGGATTAGAAAAAAAATCTGGAGAACAATATGCTTGAAATAGAAACAAGAGAATGCACCTAGGTTAATTCCCTGAATCCTACTTGAACGATGTATGAATTTCTCTTTGCATGTAACTCATATTTGTGAATGAGACATATTCCCAAAAAATTATTATCCCTGTATGTGGTTGGAAAATAAAAGATCACATTTGTATATTCAACAATCATTCACCTATTTCACAAGTCCTTTTTTCGTCCTTTATAGTATGGGAATTATTTTTTACGTTAAATAGAAACTGAATGTACTGGGTTGAACAGTGTCCCCCGAAAATTAATGTACTTCCTAGAGCCTCAGAACGAGACTTTATTTGGAAATACTGTGATTGTGGTTGTAAGTAAGCTAAGACGAGGTCACACTGGAACAGAGCAGGCCCTTAATCCAACATGACTGGTGTTCCTTATAAGAGAAGACAGGCCAGGCATGGTGGCTCACGCCTGTAATCCCAACACTTTGGGAGGCCAAGCCGGGCGAATCGCTTGAGGCCCAGGAGTTCAAGATCAGCCTGGCCAACATGGCGAAAATTCGTCTCTACTAAAAATACAGAAATTAGCCAGGTGTGGTGGTGAGTGCCTGTAATCTCAGCTACCAGGAGGCTGAGGCACAAGAATCACTCGAACCCAGGAGGTAGAGGTTGCAATGAGCCGAGATAGCGCCCTGCACTCCAGTCTGAGCAACCTGAGTTTGAGACAGTACGAGACTCTGACAAAAAAAAAAAAAAAAAAAAAAAAAGAGAGAGAGAGAAGATAGAGACACAATGGAGAATGCCACATGGAGCTGGAGGCAGAGATTGGAGTGATACATCGTGGCAACCATCAGAAGATAGGAAAAAAAGCATGGAATAGTTTCTCCCTCAGAGTTCCAGTAGTAGCTACCCTGCTAACATGATTTTGCACTTCTGGCCTCCAGAACAGTGAGAGAATATATTTCTGCTGTTTTAAGGTACCCAGTTTGTGGTAATTTGTTATAGCAATCCTAGGAAATTAATACTCTGACAGAAAAAAAATCTTGGATAATATGCATGAGAAAAATCCTTCAATAAACACAAAATTGGTTTCAAAATTTTTTCATGTAAAGATAGATTAACTTTTCTGTAATTAGTCGTGTTTTATAGTCATTCTTGCCTGTTTCTTAGTCTTTGTTGTAGGATGCATAATAAAATACATGAATGAGTTTTAAATGGTTAACTTTGGAGAATGGTTTTGAAAAGTTCATGCAGTATACAGAAATAAAAGCTGATGTTACAATGAAATTGCATCACATTTCCAATAAAATATTTCTGAATCTCAAAAAAATAAAAAAGAGAAGACAAATGCATTTGTCAATTATTTCCTTTCAAATAGATTGTTACATAATAAAATGTCACTCTCCAATAGTGCTGAGGCTCCATTTAGTTGCTATTCTTCGCAGTATTCTTTTTTTTTTTTTTTTTTTTGAGATGGAGTTTCACTCTGTCACCCAGGCTGGGGTACAGTGCGGTGGTACAATCTGGGCTCACTGCAGCCTCTGCCTCCCTGGGTTCAAGCAATTCTCCTGCCTCAGCCTCCTGAGTAGCTAGGATTACAGGCGTGCACTACCACCCCCGGCTAATTTTTGTATTTTTAGTAGAGACGAGGTTTCACCATGTTGGTCAGGCTGGTCTCAAACTCCTGACTTCCAGTGATCCACCCTCCTCAGCCTCCCAAAGTACTGGAATTACAGGTGTGAGCCACTGCATCCAGACTCTTCATGGTATTCTAATTTGTGGATTTGGTTTGTGATCCAAAATGTGTGTGAATTAGCATGGTATTCACACAGTTTTACTTGCCAGCTGGGGAACATTTGCAATATCAAACTTTTAATATTTCTCTTAAGCTTGAATATATATGTACATCTATCTATGTCTAAATCACATACGTATTAAGTGTGATACTCTTTATTTGGGCAACTAGGTAAACACTGACTACAAAAATTGGTAATAGTCTCATTTTAAAAATATTTAGTTAATTGAATTTTTAAGTGTTAGCTTTAAATAGTTGAGATTTACCGTTTTTATTTTTACTCATTGTAAGTTGTAGTCTATATTTTAATTTTAACAGATGATATTGCATATTTTAGAAAAAACTTTATAAAATAATTTTAATATTTTACATTCCAGTTAGTTTATACTTCTGATGGTAATATATTCAAATTGCGTACACACTGAAAGTAGTTACATTTTGTTTAATTTATACTACGTTGAAGGTATATTCAAATAGTGTATACTTTAAAATTAATTAAGTAGAACAAAAATCAGAAAAAAATCTTGAGTATAGTTATATAATTAGTGGTTGTGACTAAATGAAGACAAAGTAAAGTTGATGAAATTAATATATAATGATATATTGTGTATATTTTTGTTTCACTACTCCAAATTTTGCCAACTCATCAGTGGAACACTCATATCAGCACAATAATAATTAAATTCATTTCCCTGATATTTTGCTTATTTTCACTCATTAAAACAATTACTGAAAATATTTTTGAACTATTATTATTACAAAACTATTGCAACACAAAAGGATAAAACGTGTATAATAATTTGTTAGCTTGATTTATAATTGTTAAATACTTAAATTACTAAGAAGCACTACTTCATTAAGGAACAATCTATCTTATGCAAAACGAAAAGAATAACTTGATAAATTTTAATTAGTATTTTATTTCTCTTAAGTGGCCTCCATTTATTCTCTTTTCCCGGACCATGCAAACTTTAGCAGTAGTCAGGGCCTGAACCTGTTCTCAGAAGATAGGCGGCAAGTAATTGGTACATAGACAGCTACTTTCCAGGTGTCCCTATTTAGTTTACTAGGGCTGCCATAACAAAGTAGCACAGACTGCTGGCTTACACTACAGAAACTTATCATCTCACAATTCTGGAGGCTGGAAGTCTGAGATCAAGATGTCAGCGGATTGGTTCCCTCCGAGGGCTGTGAGGGAAGGATCTGTTCCAGGCCTCTCTTCTGAGCTTGTAGATGGCCGTCTTTTCTCTGTCTTCATATATTGTTCCCTCAGCATGTGCCTGTGTCTAAATTTCCTCTTCTTACTGGATTAAGGTCAATCATATCCTTTAGGGCCCACCCTAATTACCTAATTTTAACTTAATTATCTTTTAAAGACCCTGTGTCTAAATACATTCAGAGGTCATGGGAATTTTAAAAAATCATATGCATTTTTAAAATTCAGCCCATAATACCCATACACAGACATGAACGTGTTTGCACTTTGGTTTCTTTCTATTGGATCGAACTTTATTGTCCATAAATGCTTGGATATTTTTTGCAAGACAATTGACATATGTCACCTGGATTTTAGCCACAAAGGACAAAGGCTTTGTAAGTATGATCATTTTTCTGGATTTAATTTTGACTCATTACCTTAAAATCATTAAAAAAATGTTATATGATAATAGCTCAGCTAATAGATATAATGCGGCATTCTCCCAAAAATCTAGTTTTGCTGTGTTTGACAGAGGAAGTAGTCCTCTTCAACTTTATTAAGATTTAGCAATGCTCCATTTTTTTTGTCTTATGCAATTATTCTTCAAGGTAATAAACGTGAGTCATTCTTTTATGATTGTTAATCTATTTTTATGTATCTGCATAATATGTACTTCATGGACTTTAATAAAATCTGAAGTGAGGTCCCCTTGAGGCCATTTCCAGGCTGGTTTTGCTGCAAACTGCAGTGAGTGGAAATTCAGTTAGTTCAGCATACAGTGTGTTTCCCTTTAAAATAGATGGGCTAATAGGAAGCATGTCTGTGCTGGCCTGGTATTATGGTTTGGCCTCAAATACTGGTTGTTAAAACAAACTACACACCATCCGAGACCTAACTGCCAATAATTCCATGGTGTAACATAACTTAGCTGAATATGCTTTTAGTTTGGAAAAGGTAAATAGGAAACAAGGTAGCAAGAATAAGCATGTCTGCAAGTATGCCATCTAACTCTACTTCTGGAAAGAATCCAGGAGATTACAGAAGGACTAAACTAAATCAGATAATTCTGTCAGTTTTCTGTTATGAAGAAATGTTCTATCTGAAATAATCAGTAAATACTTGAACTATTTATGGGTTCTACCTAGGATGTAAATATGAGACATTAAACTGACTGTCTGGTAGCATGGAAATTTTGTCTACACACAATGGAATTCCAAATATTTTTGTTTTCTGTAAGGGCATTTCCTAGGGTCTTTCTCTTCCATACCTCTGCCAAATGTATAATTACTCTTAAAATCATTGTTTCTTCCACATCACCACATTTTATTATTGCATATATCTATCCTTCCTATTTATTGCAAATCTCTATAGGCCAGAAATGCTTTTTCTATTTTTTTAAATTCACAATCATATTGTGTTACACAGTTTAAAAATAGAATAAGAATAGAATTAAATGAATTTTAAATTTTACAATCAGAGAATGAAAAGGGTCTTCAAAAGTCACTGCCGAATTTCACATTTTCGGGAAACTAGATGTCTACATTAGTGACAAACCCCATACAAACCCACAAACATGTCAGAGAAGAGCTATGAGCCTTAACATAATTTTTTAATGCATAAGCCAGTTCCTAGTGCCATGCTTTGTATCAATGATTACATTCACTGCCAGCCACACTGTGACGATATGTACTTCTCTTACAGCTGGAAAGTGGAGAGCTGGTTGCTGGATGTCAGTTCTCTGTCATTTGGTGCCCACATCACACAGAAAACCCAGCGTCGGCATAGTCCTTTGCATCAGTGACAGATGTCAGTAATATAATGTTGATAAGCAGTTGCGTTTGGAAATTAATATATTTAAGTGTTCTTCTCATGTGACTTACCTTCTTCACAATTACTGAATATTACTACATGCTGATTGAGACATATATTCAAATTCAGGGTAAAATTTTGTTTGTGTGTGTCAATTTTCTATTGACACTTGTGATTTCAGGAAATACTTTCATGCCTCCTTAACGCAAACACTACTCTTCATCTTATCTCCGAAGTCCCAGAAATGGTCTGGCACATAATAGGTGGTCTTATTTATTTACTTAGTTAATTATTTAAATTTGGCCATTCTTTGAAAAACAACGATGTTCTTGATGACACCTCATCAAGGCTAGTTTATTTTCTTACTGTGAGGGCTTTATATTCCAATTTCCCAGTTTTGTAAGTGATTCTTCTTTATTTATTTACATCCAACTGAAATCCCTTTTGCTTTAATATAAGCCATGTTTTTCTCATACTCCGGAACAAACAAAATATTAATTAAGCATCCTTTATTTATGCATAATACTTTTTGCCCATCAATTCTTACTTCTAGGGTTCGACCTTCCCCCCATAACTCTGCTGTCTGCTTTTGCCAAAATAGAGCTTCATTTGCAATTGTGTTTGCAGGCCTGTGTTTGTGTGTATGTGTGTGTATACTGTGTGGTAAGGGTGGCTGTGCTAAATGGAGATGGCAAATTGATTATTATCCTAACTCTTCTCAAGAAACTCATGAGTTATGCACGACCATTCGATGGCTAATGCGGGCATAGGACATTCTTAGGAACAGAGAAGCAGATGCTGGCAAATTTCAATGCCCTGTAGTAAACTACATTTGAAAAGCAGTAGCTAAAATATATATTTTTAAATACAGGTATAAAACAAAAATAGGGGCATAAGACAAAAATGAATTTATACAACCGTAAACCAAATAGATATGTGTAACCTATTTTTTGTGGTTAGTATAACCAGATGCTGGAAAAGTATACCAGGAATCACGGTGGGGATGAGGGAAACTGGAAATTTCTAACAACTGAGAGGACCTAGGTTTGTTTGATGCCAAGATATGCTTTCCCACTACACTTCCTCTTAATTATCATATTCTTAAATCTCTTAAAATATACCACCTTCCATTAGAAATGCTGTTTATTATCTACAAAGGATAAAATACCTTTAAAATTCTCTGCTACTTACTAATTGGGAGCCTGGTTAGAATGTCCAAACCTCAGTTATCTCATGTCTTAAAGGAATGTATTATACTTTCTAGGACTGCTTTAAAGATTAATTGAGATAATGTCTATAAACACCTGGCAAATAATACAAGTTCAGTAAATATAGGTTGATATTTTCTTGGCACATTACTTTTGGCATTGTAAACCCTGCCCCTCCCCCGAATATTGGTGGAATGTATGCGTGCATAACAATAAACTGGAGTAGACTTTTTAAAAGAATAAATACTTCAAAAACAAGCTTTTACATAGAAGCCATTTTGAAAGAGCTTCCAATAGTCAAATATACAACAATTTGAGCAATAAAATAAAAATGTGGTATTAGATTATAACCCAAAATATAAAATAAATATAAATGAGTCTATCCTGATATAAATTAGTAAAATAAAAAAGGAAGGGACAAATGTCTTTTATGAAAGGATTCCGATTAAGATATGTAGATACTCCCTATGCCGGTTTAATCATCTCTCCTGTCTTGAGTCTGGGCTGCATTTAGGACTTAGTGACCCTCTTACAAAGTATACAGTGGGGAAAGGAGAAAAACTTTACAGTGAAAAGACCTGAAAAACACTACATGAAACAAGCAATCAAGGTTAACGTCGCCAGTGGTGGTAGGTCACAGTACTTCATAAAACTCCATGACCCCAATCTGACCATGAGAAAAACATGAGACAAACCCAAATTGGGGGGCATTCTTCTAAATATCTGACCAGTATTCTTCAAAACTACCAAGATCATGAAAATAAAGAAAGTCTCAGACACTGTCACAGACCCAAGGTGACTGAGAAGATGTGAGGACTAAATGCAAGGTGAAATCCTGGGTTGGATCCCAGAACACAAAAAAGACATTAATGGAAAAACTGGTGAAATCCAAATAAAGTCAGTAGCATATTTAGTAGTAATGTACCCATTTAGTAGTAATGCACCCAAAAAATTAAATAAATGAGGAATTATGCACAATTCTATAAGGTGTTAACATTAGGAGAAACTGGGTAAAATGTATTAAAACTATGTACTATTTTTGCAACATTTTCTAAATCTAAAATTATCCCAAAGCAAAAACTGTATCTTAGAAAAAAAAACGAAAATCTTTATATGTAGCATCATGCATTCTTCATTAGCTAATTTCAAACATAAAGAAAATCCACCCAAGAAACTGAAATTCTGCCTCTTCTGTTCATCTGTAATATTATAATACAGTGTTTAGTGAAGCTGTGAGGCTTAATCAACTCGAAACGCAACATCACAAAGCTCTTTGAAATCCCAAGATGAAAGAAAATTATATAACTATGTAAATAAAGTCTTAGTTTGACCATTCAAAATGTTTCTCGGTACATACCTAAATAAAGAAATGAATCTGTGAGCTGTTTTCTCTAAACAAATACATTCTGTGTGTAATGATTAGTGCACAGTGCCAAAATACCTTATGGGAAGTTGCAAAATCCAATCAACTTAATTATTAAACATCTTGTGTCATGCAGTCCCACCCCCACAAAAAGTATTCTTGCTTACCACACCTGTATTTTTGCTTTTTGCTTTTTAAGGTATTAAAATTTAGACTGCATTCAGGAGCAGAATGGTACTTAACTTTCTATTTGAAAACTGTCAGGCAGCACTTTTAACGTATTGTGGGATGAGACCCATTGTATGATTGGTATTCCATCAAAATTACCACTCTGCAGAAATGATTCAATTTAGTTGGAGTAGCTAAATTGCCTTCATGTGACTTCCATATTTTTCGACACATTTCCCATTGTCTAATACTTAGGGTCATTACTGGATAATATTAATATTAAACAGGGACTCTGTTCTCTGTGGTTCTAGAGACTCTCTCAGACATCTGACACCCTTAGCCCCAGCCTTTGACCTTCGACATCATAAAGTTTACATTTTTGGTTTCAATTGACAAACTTATAATAGACTGTCATATTTTTGGTTAAACATGGCTGTAGCTATTAATACTTCCACACTACATTATATTTAATTTGGTCAGTGCAAACTAATGGTCAATCTGGTGAACAAAAGTTTTAGTTCAACTGTTGACCGAGCTGTGCAGCTTTTATTGTTTGCTTCATTAGAAGGTTGATCCCACTAATCCAAAATGAACTTAATTAGGATGTCTTTTTTGCTTGTTCTCAAAACATGTATTTAAAATTCAGGTCATATAACAGGGAAAGCATGGGCTTTAAAGTCATGCAGATCTTCCTGACAACTTTATTAACTAGCTGTGTGACCTTGGCAAGCCACTTGACCGCTCCAATCCTCAATTTCTTTTTCTGTAAAATGATCATAAAAAATATTAACCTTACATAGCTATTGTGAGGATGAAATAGATTAAAATGTGCAAAAGTACTTAGCATGATGCCCGACTCAATAAGTCTCCTTTCAACACTAAAATGATGTTAGAGACTGTAGTTACATTCCAAGTAGTTCACAAAAACCAAGACAGCCACACTATGTAACAGAAATATGTCTATCTCAATGAAAAAAAAATAAAAGAAATCATATTGTTGCCACATGTCTAATTAATGCAACATAGGAAATAAAAAATTAAATAAATGAGGAATTAAAGTTGTGTTCCTACATGCAACTTAAACATCTTGATTATTGGTGCTTGAAAGAAAGGTATATTTCGTAATGAAAGTTAAAAGTCCCTGAAGCTTTTCTAGTGGTTTTTTTATCTAATAAATATTATCATTTTCCAGGCTGGGCACTGGAAAAAGGGAAAAAAAATTATGCAGTGAGCAAATGAAGATGGGAACACTTCACTCTTGTTGCTTACAGTCTGGTGAGGGAGATATTTAAGAACAGATTTATACTTTCAGGCTGAGATAAGATCCCTGATGATGCAGTGAATAGAATGATGGAGATAATGATTTCCCTGGATGGTGGAAAAGGAGTAAGGACATGGTAGGGAATCCAGAACCAACTGACAAAGGCAGAGTGTTTATATGTGAGAGTGATCTATGGGATAAAACGTTAACTGACTTGTAATTGGTGAAAACAAGAGTGAGGATTTGTTGGTGCTTCCCCACAGGGAATGACTCAGGAAGGGAAAGAATGAAATGGTGAGGAGATAGTGTTTCTCCTACATTGTGGCTAAACCTGGGAGGGAGCTGAGTGCAACCAGTTGTTTGCATGTAGAGATGTATGTTTGTGAGGCTGACATTGGCCACTAAGAAATGAATACAAAGGTAGTTGATCCCAGAACAGTATAGATGACCTGTTTTGGAAGAATACAAATATACATAAAGCATGCCTGGACAATAACAGTATTAGCAATAGGGCTGTACCAGAACCATGAGCTTTAGAAAGGATAGTTACAGTCAGCAACCAAAAAAAAAAAAGGATGTTTTCTTTACATGAAAAATGCTTCAAACCTGTGTGAGTAATTCTGGAATTTTCAATAAGCCCAGTTGTTATAAGGAATGACTCACTCTTGCCTAATAAGTGAAAGAATGAAGTTTTAGAAACAAAATCATCTGTTCCCCAGCCGGAATGGTTTATTTCACAACTGAAAGTTTAACATTAAACAAATATAACTCAAGTCACAATGCAATGATGATTGATGTTTTTCATCAACATCCAATTATCATTCCATCAAACACTGTTGTCTGGGCCAAGTAAAACATAGAGTATGCATCTAGAAAGGGTTATTCTCTACACCTTTTCAAAATCACTTGCAGGATATAACTACACTTACTGAATTTCTGACTTGTTAGAGCATGTCACAGGGAACCTCTCCAAGTGAATTTGGGTGTTGTGTTATCGCGTGTGCTTTCCAAAGTATATTAGTTGCTTTTGCTATTTGAACTTAAAAAGGAAGCCCCTTTCATTTCTTTAACTTACTCCTTTAGAATAATCTGCATCTGTGTTTTCTTTGTCTTTTGTTAGCTGTGAAGGCAGCTACTTAGGTATCAGGCATGATGGTAGGCTGTGGTGTGAGGTCTTGTAGGAGGTGAGGGAAACTGGTGGGATTTCAGGAAAACAAAAACAAAATAAAAACATCCCTTTGACTGGGCTTCAAAGGAAGCCATCACATTCAGAAACAGCTCTTCAAGAAAACACAATCACTTCCCATTTTGTTCTGTGCTAAGCCAGTGGTTCAAAAGAGGAGTGATGGATGGCTTGGAGACTGCTGTAGTTAAAAAAAAAAAAAAAAAGAAAAAAAGCCTCACATTCCCAAGGATGCCTTTTGTCCCAGATCACTCTGCAAGCAGCTCCCTCAAAGAGCCAGGAAGCTTTCTCACCAATTCTCAACCTTCTCTCCTCTGGGAAGGCAGCAACAGCTGCTTCACCATCAGGAGTGACTTGCTGAGGAAGACAAAGAACGCACCTTTCCTGTCTGAAACTTCAGGGAGGGCTGAGCACTGAAATAAAATTAATTGCTCAAATTGGAACTTGGCCAGAACCCCAAGGCTAACAACGTACTGTTACAGGAGGGGGAAAAAAAGCTTTAATGAACTTAGGAAGAAGAGATCTAAAAATTATATCAAAACAGACAATACAACTTTTCCCGCCATGGCTTATTTCAGCAGGGAGTGACTTGGAAGGGAGGTGGGAGGGAAGAGTCTGGGTCTCCTGGAATTCTGGCTATCCAAAATCTGAATGAAATCATTGACTTTGCCTCACTTCTAAAAACTTGCTTCAACCTAGAATGATAATTAGGAAGCAGATCTGGTTTAATGTATTATTAATTTAATCTTAACCTTAGTTAAAATTCATAACTTCCTATTAAGGACATGGGTTCCTGTTGAACTGGCCTATCCCAAAGCTTATGAAGAATCTGTAAGATTGCACAAGCAGCATGCAGAGGCCTGAACCTAGCCCATGACAGGTTCTTCTCCCATCTCATCAGAGGGCCTCTGAGCACCGTCCCTGAGAACACAGGGAGAGGAGCACGCAGCCATGCAAATTTAAATTTAATTCCATTCAGCCAGCATTGGTGGGCCAGTTGGGTGCTAAGAGATGTTCAGTATCAAAAAGAGTATCACAGACAAGAGATGTTAATGAACCACTTTGGGCTTGGGGAACAAAGAGATAGGTAGCCTGTGATTTGAACCCAGAACATTAGAGGGAACCAGTACTGAGAGCACTGACTATAGAAATCGGCTCAGAAAGCACAGCCAGATGCACCAGATACAGCATACAAAGTTCAGAGATGGTCTGCGTGCATGTGCAGGATGCAATGTTTGCCTAGTGGAATAGTGGTCTCCCAGTGGCTGGGTATGGCCGATGACAAAGGACCCAGAGCAGGAGATGTTTGGCAAACAAGAGCCCTGGAGGTTATCATTAACTCTTTCAACAAATACATATATTGAGCATCTACTGTGTTATAGACATTGTGCTTAATGCTGGGGATATAAGTGATCAGCATGGTGGACACTGCTATCTAGGAACTTAGTTCACAGGGAATAGTAAGCCAGCGAAGGATCTGAATTTGTGGGCCAGATTCTAGTCTCCTCAGCAAGTAAACCAGAGGCCAGCCTTCATGTTGGAGTTCCCCATTCTAGATGGTGACAGGTTACAAATAAAGAACTAAAAAACAGGAAAATCAGTCTGCTAGATAACTAGTAGGCTTTCAAAGTAGGTTTCTCAGAGCTATCAAATGCCCCTGCATTGGCAAAGAACAGAGAGAAGAAAGAGGAGGGCTTCATTTGGACCAATATATCTATATACTTTCATCTGGCTTCCTTGTAAATAAACGTACTTTGTCCTGGTTGAAGAATACATTTCCTAATGGAGTGATTAAAATATCAAAGTAATACCATGCTCCAAGTTTGTCATTTAATAAATGGCAAATAAATGAAGCTTATTTATTTATTTAATAAAACAAATAATTCTTATGTATTTATTTTAAAATTAATAAGTGGCAAATAAATAAATTTTATTTCCCTTTTAGTAATTTTAAAAATACATAAATTGTATATATTCTATAAATATTTATCAAGCATTTACGATGTACTAGGAACTGTGCCAGATCCTCTAGATGCCAAGATTAAAATAACAAAAGTCCTGCCCTCAAAGAACTTGTAGTCAATTGGAGAAGACAGACAAGTAACTAGCTATTATAGCTATGCCTTAGCTGCCTTTTCTACCTCCATCCCTATCCTACTGGGATTCGAGTAGATCCAAGGTAGATTTAGGTGCTAGAGGTGAGAGTTCAGGCTAGACTAGGAAATCACAATGAAGGTGGACTGAAGCAGAAAGATCCACTTCAGAGTGAAATTGAGTTAAATGCATCAAGTGATTCAAAGGCTAAATTGAACACTAAGGTGAAGAAACAAGCCCAAAGTCTGCAATACTGGGTAGATCTAGAAGAAAGTGAGATGAAAATTGCAGAAGGAAACTGTGTGTGATAGAGACAGAGAAGAAGGTTGATCAAAAACTGAAAATATAGCTTATTGATCTCTAGCTTTATAGGGTTGGGAGGCTAGGCAAGTTTAGAAAAGTCAATACAGGGTAAAATAAAGACAAATGTATAAAGCTCTGGGAACATAAAGGAAGAGGACAGACCTCATTTGTGATGCAGCAGAGATGGTGAGAGTGGGCTTGTGGAGGTCTTCACAGATGAAGCAATGATGATTTGATTCTCTAAGCCTGAGCAGGAGTTAGCCAGACAGGGGAAGAAAAGGGCATTCCAGGCAGAGGCAACCCCCTATAAAATCACGGCAGCTTCAGAAACCTTGTCACAGTTGGCTTGATGGCTGGGCTTCTTAGGAGCAGCTGGAGATGAAGCTAAACTGAAGGCAGGAGTCAGATTGTTAATTTCATTTTAACTCTTTAATGAACTAGTTTAGGGAGAAAATTTTCATATTTATATAATTTGGATAGTTAACCTATAAATCACAAACTTTTAGATTCAGGGATAGTATAGAAAGTATCCAATAAAAATGTTTTTATTCACTCCCTTAAAAATAAGTTTCTATTTAGTCCACCATAAGCCAACTAGAATAATCTGTGACTTGCTAACAGTTGAATTTCGCATCCTTTCTTAGGAAAACATTAAATCTGCTTAGTTCAGTTAAAAAAGTGAACATAGCCATTTTCATGCCTCCTGATGAAATTATGGCCCCTTATATGATCCCAATACTTAATCACTGTTAAATATAAATTTAACTGCTGAGGGTTTAAGTTGCAAGGCTTGTATTTTTGGGTCTTCAACCTCTCATATATTTGTTTCCTCAAATTTTTCTGACTTTGAAATTGCATGAGATCGATTAAGTCATTAGCCACAAATTAAAGATTTGCCACAAGATTCTTCAGTCCTTTGTAGGCTAACATGTTGCTGCTGGCTGTTTATGGAGCTAATCTTAATCCAACATCAGGTTGCACTTGGTTACTGTTCCATCGTTTAATCAGTTGTTTGGGTGCTTGTGGTGGTGGTGGTGCGTAAAATACTGTTCTTAATTATAAAACTCCTATCCTTGGATCAACTTGTCCCAGATAACATTTGTTTCATCTTTATGCACATTCTTTTAAACATTACCAAATGTGCCATCACAGAAAATCACTGATTAAACATTTGGAACAAGTAGCTGGAATCATTTGGTGCTAACAGCAGCCAAGGCAGAGATGTGTGTTATGCAAAGCAGGAAACTGTGAGCACTTTCATCAGGTCTATTTATTGTTCAGCTTAGTTTATACTCTTTATTCTGGATGAATTAATAATAATCCTTTAGAATCACAGAGCACCTTTATTATAAGAATACAAAGCATTCTCTCATACCCTCTCTCTACTCATTTTGCAACATCCCCATAAAGCAGGAAGGGTCAGGTATTCAGACAGGAAACCAAAGCAGACGCTAAATGACTTTCCCCAGGACATATGGTTAGCCACAGACAGAACCATAACAAGAATGCGAGTCCCTTGACATCAAGGTCAATGTTGATGCCATCAGACTGGTGGTTCTCAAAGGATGATCTGTGAAGCCTCTCAGCTTATCCATAGTCTGGGGGTTGTGACGTTAAAGTAAGCCTAAAACACTTCCACTCATTGCTGCCATTAATTCCACACAATAAACATCTGGGATGTGACAATAGCTGTAATGCTGTTTGCTGATGTGAGGTCTCCCATCTTCAAAAAACATAAAAACAGTCCTTTCCTTGAACTTCCTTTGTGGGCTACTATTCATTTCATTCACTTCTTTCTTTCTTTCTTTTCTCCCTATCAAGAGCAGGACTCAGGCATGCAGGCTACAATGCTAGCACATCTTCAAACTAATAACTTAAATATTTGTTCAACACTTATTTAGTATAGATTGGTAGACACTGATTTCCTATTAGTAAATGTATTCTAGAAAAACAGATACAGAATAATTCACTTCAACTGGCTGACATAGGTTTAGTTCTTGTTCTTCAGTTTTATTTTTGCAATAATTTTCCAAATCAGATGACTTCTTAGGAAACATATTAAAGGATTTGAAATTTAGGCAATAAAATAAACCACTTGTTCCAGTAAACAGCACCACACCCATACATTATTCAGTTTCAGATTTAGCTATGACCGCTGAGTTAAGATTACTGAACTTTCGCATGTGTGCTGAAAAACACTACAACAAAAACCCAAAAACAAAACAAAAAACACAGAAAGAGAGATCAGCATCTAAGACAGGAAAGTTCTAAATATTCAGTGGAGGGCACAGTCCACTTTGCTGAGAGAAGGACCAGCTTTCATTTTGCTAGTTATGTGAAGAGCCCTGTGTAGAGCTTTAAAATCACTGGCACCATATTTCTGATTTTTTTTTCAAGATCTATAAATCTGTAGTCCTAACCTTTCTCACAGCTCCAGGTCCACATTCCAATGGCCTGATTGAGAAATCCACGTAGAATACACTGCTCTATATCAAACCCAGTAGGTCCAAACTAACTTAACATTTCTCCTTCAAACTCAACATTTCTCCTTTGAAGGAGCCACAAAAGTTCTATAAAGGACACACAAAAGTATTTTTTTTTTTCATTTACACTTCCTTCTGAAGGGCCACTAACTTTAGCGTTTACTCACTCATTCATTAAATAGTCCATTCAAGGTTCCTGAACACTATTCTAGGCACTAGAAAACCAGAGAACCTCAAGAAATAACCTAGTGAGAAATGATAGTTATCATCCAAAAATTATAATTATTTCAACTGCTCCACCCTAGCTCTGTGACCTCTTCCCTAAACAACTGCACTTCTCTTGGACCTTAATCTATCTGTTTCTTTCCTGAGTCTTTCCTTTTACTCTACAACCAGACTGATTTCATTAAAATCCTCTCATAAACATTCAGTGACTTAGCAGAGCCAGTGAAATAACAGCCTTCATTATTCCTCTCTGAAATCCTGGCAGGGTGTTGTAGAAAATCAAGAACTCACCTGTGCTTGGTGACGAGAGCCAAGACTAAACCTCACTATCAATGTGAGCATGACATTATGGAGCTCTCATTTGTAAGATGAGAAGACCAGATTTCAAAAATTTATATTTCTAAAGTCCTTTCCAATTTTGAAACTTTATGCTTTTGTCAACATATATATCCTCCAACCAACAAGCTTCTTGCTTTTCCCTTGCTGCCCCTGTTCCTCTACTCCAGCATCATGCCTCTAAAATACCCTTCTTCACTCTTCCTTTTCTCTCCTGTTAAAAATCATACACATCCTTTATGGCTTTGTTCAAATGTCGCCTTTTAAGCTCCCAACTATAAGTGAGCTCTCCCCTCTCAAACCCTCATCTGACTTTGTACATGTCACTTTCTTAAATCAAGTATCTGTATTTAAAGTGGCTTTAAAATTTACACACCATAAATCAGATATAATTTAAGATGTAATTACATTAGGAAATGAAATCTAATTATAAGCCCCTATTTCTTTGAACAGTAATGGAAAAAAAGACCCATTCTAAGTAACATACTCTACTTCTGTTTCAAGCTTAGCCTTCTGCAGATTAACTTGGTCTATTTAAGTGCACATGCTTTCTTGGTTATCTCCCATCCCTTCACCTTCTCCTTTCTTCCCAAGTAGTTTCTAAGCAATGAGATTTCTAGAAATCATTATGGTGGCAGGAGTGAGAGGTCCCTGAGACATTTTCAGTCCTCAGCTCCTCACTGGTCTCACTGAGCTGTGTTGCTGCACTTGACCTTTAGGCGAAGGTTTCTTTTCCCTCTGCATCTACTGGTGCTCCCCGAGCCTTAATACACTTGCCTACACCTGCTGCTGATGCCCACAGGGTCCACAATGACTCCTGACCCAAGGATTTCCATTTGGCCTTTTACTTGCCCTGACATCAGGTCTCCTTGGTTCTCCTTTCTGGGAAGGGGAATTTCTACATCTATTCATGCCATACATACACCACATGGAACCAGAGTTGGGTAGGACTTCATCTTGAACACTCTTTAAACTGAACACATACACACACACCATCATTTCTACTTGACTAGAGTCACTCTATGCCGTTGTTGGATAAGAGTAGGAAACAGTTATAGACCTTAAAATTGTACTAATTATTATTTCAGAGCATGGTTTCACTCAGCCTGCTTTATCTATACTTGGGAATATGCTTTATTGTCCTTACTAGAAGAAAACTGTGTTTAAATCCTGGTTTATTCTTCTGTTTATCCTACTCTACAATCTAGCTTTAGAGCTTTGAAAATTTTCTGCCATGTTTTTCTCTATCGATTTATTAGATGTTGATTTTTCTTCTTTTTTTTAATAACATAGGAAAGAAAAGCAGGTATACAGAATAGGCAGGTCTTAGGAAATGGAGTAAAATTATTTCTGTGTTTTACAATTTGAAATTATAAATACTTATCACAGAAGATACATTTGAAAATTAGGAAAAATTTCACTGTGATTGAATGAATTACAGTGTTTATATGATATGGATGATTTAAAAGCCCATATAATCTTAAATCACATTTACAAAAAGTATCATATCCAGGCCTTAGGAAGTTTATCAATTATGATTTGTATGCAAGTTACAGAAAAATGTACTACATTGCTTTAAACAAAAAGGTGCTTATTGTTTCCTGCAACAAGTAGTGTGGTGATGGCAGTCCATAGAGGCTATGCCAGCTCAGTGACAGAATTCAGGGCCTAGGCTCCCTCTATTTTCTGGCATCAGCATACACATCCTCATAATTGCATGAGCGGAGCTACACTTTTGTATTAATCCGTTCTTAAGCTGCTAATAAAGACATACCTGAGGCTGGGTATTTCATAAAAGAAAAGAGATTTAATGGACTCACAATCCAATCCAGCTGGGGAGGCCTCACAATCATGGTGCAAGATGAGGGAGGAGCAAAGGCATATCTTACATGGTGGCAGGCAAGAGAGAGAGCATGTGCAGGGGAACTCCCATTTATAAGACCATCAGATAACGTGAGACTTATTCACTATCACGAGAACAGCATAAAAAAACCCCACCCCCATTATTCAATGGGGAACCCACCTCCCACTGGGTTCCTCCCATGGCATGTAGGGATTATGGGAGCTACAATTCAAGATGAATTTTGGGTGGGAACACAGCCAAACCACATCAACTTTTAAGCATTATGTCCTTACCCTAGACAAGAGAAAAATAAAGGATCCTTCTCCTAGTAAATTTTTGCCCTTTTATTCAGGAAGAAGTATTATTGGGACTTCTTCCTACATATTAGCTAAACATGCTACAAGTCCTCTGCACTCCCACTCCCATAGCTGGAAGAGACTCAGGGACAGGAAGTGCTTTAATTTTTTTACCTCTGAAGTCAAGGGATGAAAAGTGAAAAGAGGGTTGTGAGGCCACAGCTTGACTATTTTTGCACTAGTTAGAAGATTTCTGAAATAAGGTGCTCAATTTGAGTGTCATCTTTAAAAAGCAACAGATGATGAAACAGATGTTGTTAAAGAGAGAAATATTTAGCCTGAAGAAGAGGAAACCGTAGGAAACAGCAATAGGCATTATTGCTGTCTTAAAATGTTTGAAGGGCTAGATAGGAAGGAGGAGATTTGTTTTGTGTTCAAAAATGCAGCTCTAGAATCAATGTGTGGGACTTACTGGGGAACTATTCCTACTTTATCTTAGAGCTCATTTGTTTTCATGGAAAATAAACTGAATCAAATTATATTAAAACAAAAATAGTTAACAATGACAACACAGAGGAATGTTATAGAGCATGATGTACAAGAGTTATTCCAGGACCTCAAAGCCATTAGGCAACATCTCTCATTCCTCCCCTCCCCTCCTCTCCTATCTTTTCCACCCTCCCTTCTCTCTCTCTCTCTCTCTCACACACACACACACACACACACACACACGCACACTTGTTCTCACATATCTGCTTCACTTTGCACATTTGCAGCATCAGTCTCTCTCCACACGCAACTACTCTCCTGCTAGACTCATCCTTTTGCTCATGGTCCACCTCAAGAATTCCAAAAAGATGAATTTCCACAGTTTAACAACCCAGTTTCTGGTCCCAATTCCAAATTTCTGAGAGGAAAATATCTCACTGAACCAACAAAAGCCCTATGTCCACCCCTGGTTCTATCAGATGTGATCAGGAAAAATAAAGATACATGGCACTATCCTTATTTACTGTGGATGAGGCAAATTCTCTAAGAAGTCTTGTAGATGGAAGAGAAATCATGGCCATATCAAGTAAATATTTCCATTATCTGCCCTCTTCAATTCATCTTACTCTCTACTGTCAAATTCATCTCTCTGGAAGACAGTTCAGTTTATATCACACATCCATCTATTCACAAATTTTCAGTGACTAA
Organism: Homo sapiens; assembly: GCF_000001405.40. NCBI lineage: Eukaryota > Metazoa > Chordata > Mammalia > Primates > Hominidae > Homo > Homo sapiens. Next base: position 110,083 of record NW_003315941.1, on the reverse strand, counting down.
ACTTTGTCCATAAAATACTGCCTGACATTCAAGGTCCTCACAATATGATTCCAATGCACTTTTCTCATTTTATTCTTTACTATTCTCTTCCCTTGTTGTAGCCAATAGAGCTAGCTATTGTACCCTTTCCTCTATAGTTTGAGTGACCACCTGCCAGTTTAACCAGAACAGTCCCAGTGTTTTCATCGCTTTGTTGTAATTATTAAATCTGCCCCCATTTACTCTGCAATAGGTCCTGGTTTTCATGATAAATGAAAGTTCCTTCTATCTAGAGGCCCATCCCCTTATCAACACTAAATTCCCAAGGCTTAACTATTATTCAACGTGCAGGAAAAATGCCAACTTATTTTTACATAAAGCATTATCTGACATAGTAAGGCCAAAATAACACCACCTTCCTCTTTAACTCCTATTTCATTTGCTTCTCCTGTTTATGATCCACGAAACATCATATACTTTGTTATAATTGGAACTTCTTACTGTCCTTGTTTTCACTTGGAAGACCCAAGTTAATAATTATATAATGATCTTGTTTTGGTTAGAAGATAAAACCAAGGGATGTGTTCAGATAACCTAGATGCTTATCATTCTATAGACATACACCTTGAAAGCTCTAAGTAAACAAACATGTATGGATGAATAAAATCACCTGAAACTCAAAATTTAAGTTGCCTCAGTGGCTGTTTTAGGAAACTGAAATAAATTTCTTTCAGTTCCTGTTAGTTTAAAGACTGGTTGACATATCAGCTAGCACAACAGAGGCAGCTGGGCTGGGGATGGTGGTAACTCTCAATTCAGTTCTTACTCTCAGCCACCTCAGACTTTCTTACCTTTGTTTGCAACCACCTTCCTGGTGCTGGAGCAACACCATTGCATAGTCACAGAGTAGGGACCCTGAAGACAGACCAGCCTGGAGCCAAACCCCAGCTTTGTCACCTATAACTCTATGACCAGGGCAGTTGTTCATTCTCTGTAAACCTGTTTCCTCACCCATAAAATAAAGTGTGATAGTGCAAATCCCATAGAGTGGTTTTGAAGACTAAAGGAGATAATGTGTATAATCAGCTTGCATAATATGTGTCCATATTGTATTTTTATCATCATCTGGTTCAAATTCTATGAAATATGTATTCTCAGGAGTACATGGAATTACTACCAGCGTTTAATAAAGCTACTAACAAAAAGCACTGCCAACAATTGGAAGGAATAATATATCTCACTAGCATAAGTGCCACTGTTTTAAAAAATAAAAAGATTAGAATCAATAAAATAGAAAATAACATAATAGTATTTTGAATATGTTTAACTTATATTATTGTTATTGTTACTATTAGTTTATCAAGAGAGGCCACAGTATAACTGCTAACAGGTGACTGGACATTTGCGTTTGGATGTTAAAAGTGATCTCCATATTTGAAAAGGTTGGTCGTTCTTGCCTTTACCAGAAGGGCTTTCCAACAGTAAAATGGACCCTCTCAAAAGAGAACTTTCATTCAGTTTTCCACAGCGTTTATGACTGACTATTCTCCATGAAATATGTACTTGGCTTCGCTGGCTGCAGCAGGGCTGGAGCACTGAGGCTGGACTGGCACCTGTGCCAGAATGTTCTGGAATTGAACAGGTGGGTGGTGACTGTTTGCCCAGTCAAGGAAGTGACAAAGAACTGAAAGTGCAGTCAGGCACAAGAGCCTCTGGGAAGTGCCAAATCAAATTCCCAGACACCTGTGCAAATATGCTGTCAATTAAAAGTTGCTGGGCAGGAAGAGAAGGTTCAAGTGTAAACTCAAAGAGATGCAGCTTGGGGGACCTAGCGGAGATAAAGTTGAAAGTAAAGGCTATGATGAGTGGCATGGAATTATCTCTGCCCTAATGAGCGAGCAATTGCTTCAACTGTTTAGTGGAGGTCAGAGCATATAAAATCTAAACTGGCATGTGAGCAGTGTGTATATTGTGGTCCAATCATGCCATTTTTAATGTAGACTTCTGATATCTTCTACTTGAGTGTCAGCACTTTATGTACAAAAGTAAATTCTGACTTAAATTTATATTCTACATCATGTCTAGAAGAATGTCTTGCACATATTAGGTGCTCAAGAGATATCTGCTAATCATTAGCACTGTTCAGCATCAGAACAGGCAGCCTTCTTTGACGGTAAACATTACATCCCTGGAGGTATTTAAGCAACGTCTCATTAACAAGTGTGTACTGCAAATTAGAAAAGGTTTAATAAAACATCTGTTATTGAAGCCATAGAAAAATTGAACTTGAGGACATCCAAAATTGATTTCAATCCAAGAATCAAAGATTCCATATTCTGAGAGTTAACATTCATAGCTTCTATGACAATGAAACTTTTTATTTAGTGATTTAATCTGCTGTATTATTGAAAAAAATAGATTTCAAGCAATACTCTGCTTGATGAAAAGCATTTTCTTAATTTCCTATGGATTTAAAAAATTGTATAATTGCAAATGTTCATTAGCATATAATTAAATAACCCCATTTCCCTGGTTACTAATATGTGCCAGGGTGTCATAATTATACGAGTAATTATGAAAGGAGAATATATGACTTGGCAAACTTCTGAAAATTATTACAGATTCAGAGAAGCTCTACTTTGGGGAAAAGACATTAAAATAGGGCAGGATAAAAAGAATATAGAATAAAAGAATAAAGAATATAAAATAGGGCAGGATAAAAAGATAATAGAATGAGAATATTACATAATAATGCACCATACATGAAAAGTCTGTTCTAATTTCTAGGGAAATAATAGAGGAATGCAATAAAATCTGTTCACCATCCATGGAGGTCCAAGTGTTTGAAGATGTTTTATGTACCTTGCCTTTTTATTGTACCTCTGATTTTGGTTAGTTTATGGCTCTGCCTCAAGTTTACTTTTATAGAGATTAATGCAATTTATACATTATATTTTATTTTATGATATACTTAACAATAAGTGCATAGTAATTAAGGCTGTGTGAGATTAAGGAAAAATGCCCAGGAACTAAATACCTTTTAAAAAAATATGTTCTTTGAGTTTAATAGCATTTGAACTATTTAATAGCTTAAATTAAATTAAAGTTAATAGAGTTTAATTAAAGTTATAGTCAAAGGAGAAATATTCTCTCATTAAAAAGAAAGTGTTGTTCTGGAGTCATGAACGTTTTTCTCGATTCTCAATGAAGAAATCACTTCTTGCTATGAGGAGTCTCCCAGCATTACAGTCTTGTCAAAGGCCCATGAATTAACTACATTGTGTGAGAGTTAAGAGTATTCCATTTCCACAGGTAACATTTGATATTCAAAGAAAACCCCAATGTTAGTTTACAGAAATTCTTAACATGTCAGGCCAATTAAAATTCTATTACTTTCTACATATAAATATGGAAATCAAAATTTTTACACCAGCAAAAAATGATCGACATAAAGTGAAAATGGAGAGTAGCTCCTTTGGCCAATGTTGCGCTTGGGGTCACCCAGAGATGCTGTTTCTAAATTGAACAAATAAGGACTTGCTTAGGACTTGTTTGTTTCTCATTCAGATTGTGCAATTATAGACTTATTTTTTGCATTGAATGGAAGCCTAAAAAGTAGGGTCAGGAGAAGAATTGATGAGATGACAGGAGACCCATAGAGCTGCTGAGAGCCATCAGGCTGACCCTGGCTGATGTGTGCCTTTCTGGCCTCGGATGAGACTCACTCTTAAAACTATCCCACTCACTGTCAGGCTGTCTTTCTTCTTAACTTAGATTGGTATGTTTTTCTGGATGTATAGATTAGCATGTGGCATATGAGCCAAATACTCTCTCCTGTTTTCCTTAATTAATTAAATTCTAATTCTCTTAAAAAAATCAAATTCCAAACCTCTAAAGCAACAATGTAAAGTTAATTTTTAATGCAATTTTATTCAATGTGTATATTTTTCCTTATAGATACAATACAGAATTTTTAAAAATAAAAATAAACCCCAAATAAGGCACCCACTCACACACAGCAAGGTAAGCGGGGAAGAAAAGGAAATTATATAGCTACAAAATAGAGGAATAAAGACTATCCAACTACAAACTGAACTTTTTTCCCCTTTTGGCTTAAATGAAATGAAGCTGGAGTGATGCTAATCTACATTGTTATTTTCGTGGAAATAATAAAGAATGACATAAAGTCTAATCCCATATGCACTGGAGGCCAAACTACCTAACTCTGCCTTGATTTTGGTTTGTTTATAAATGTATCTCAAATTCTCTTTTGTAATAATTAATGCAGCAATTGTTGCATAGCACTTGCTACAATGCAGTTGTTGAATAATGATTGAAAAAATTAATTAATTAGTGAAAGAATATAAATTTCAGATGTCTTCAGTCATTAATTGCAATCCTAATCAAAAGCCCATTTTGGGCTATCTTATGAATATGATAATAGAATAATTCTATCATTTCTTAAAAGAAAAAAGGAGGGGCTTTTTTCAATCATTAACTTAAATCCCTATCATTATTCTTAAATTTTAAAACAGATCTTTAAAAGAATATTTTCAATTACAGAACTTTAAAAGAAAATATATAATTGCGAATGTGATTTGATGGTGACTGGTTTCTTCGTATTAATCTTTGGTTTCCCTATCTTTTTTTAATAAAACAAATGGGGATTAAAGTATCTTATTATCCAAGTCACAATCAGCAGGTTGGCAGAGTATAAAAACCACGAAGAATATAATTCTGGTTATGCTTCTGATTAGCTGTGTGAATTTGGGCAAGCCATCTAGCTCCCTTGAACCTTAGTTTCCTTACCTGTAAGAAAGAATCTCACTCAAAGGTTGCTGTGAAGATCAAATGAGATATGAGTGCATTATAAAACACTATGTCAATGTAAGGTATTTCTGCCATAATTACATAATCTCGTTTTGCAAGTTAGACCAGTTAGGGATTAGAAAATATATAGGGAGAGTGGTGTAATGCAAAGAATATGAGACCTGGACTCAATAAACATATTCGAGTCCCAACAACTCTATTTTGTGACCTAGAGCAGAGCCCTTCACCACTCTGAACCTCAGTTTCCTCATTTACAGAATGGGGATAATACTGTTGAGATCTAAAATATATATAAAAGCACTTGGCAAATTTACAAGTGCTACATAAGAATCAACCATAATTCTCAGTAGCTACCGAGTTTACAGTAAACGTGCGAAAAACCACATAAATCCACCTATAGTTGTTCAAAAGTCAGACGGAGATAATACGTCTCAGCACTGATGCACATCATCAGACACTTGGACTTTTAAAAACCATTGTACGTGAGACAAGGTAAAGGTGGAGAAAGGAGTACTGTGGGGACTTAATTATCAACTTAATGGAAAAATCATTGAAAAATATATAAGAGTTCAGGGCCAGGCGCGGTGGTCCACACCTGTAATCCCAGCACCCTAGGAGGCCGAGGCGGGAGGATCACATGAGGTCAGGAGATTGAGACCATCCTGGCTAACACAGTGAAACCCCGTCTCTACTAAAAATAGAAAAAAAAAATGGTCGGGTGTGGTGGCGGGCGCTTGTAGTCCCAGCTACTCCGGAGGCTGAGGCAGGAGAATGGCGTGAACCCGGGAGGGAGAGGTCGCAGTGAGCCGAGATCGCACCGCTGCACTCGAGCCTGGGCGACCGAGCGAGACTCCTCATCTCAAACAAACAAACAAAAAGATAAGATTTCGGGAGTCCGTTTCGTTGAATGGGGTTTTAGTAACTTGGTAAACACAAACACATGCCAGATTTAAAATGTGTCATCACAAGAAAAACAGTCACAGTCGTGATGTGGAAAGGTGTTAAGCTTATGGAAGCTGAAGCAGAAGAAACCTCTGACTAGATTGGCATTGAAATAAAGAAATGCAATTGACAAAATTAAGGAGAGGCAGAAGCCAGAGTCTTCTCTGTGAGGAAACTTAAACAGTTGGGCTTTCTCCAGTCCGTGGAGATGCAGGCAGGGCTGCAGGGTCCCGGGAGCTTCTATGTCCAACCATAAAGAATCAGGAACCTGCAGTGAAGGCAAAGTGTAGCCATCTAACAGCTACTTGGTTTTGTTCTAAAACTCCAGGGGTTCTTCCACTCAATTGGAAAGCTCCCAACATGTTTTTCCAACCACCAGGCCCAATCTCTCTGTGAAGAGCCATGACCAAGAGAACAGGATTGCTTGGCTGGAAGGGATCTTAGAAATCTAAGAGTGGTTGAGGGTTTGCTCTTTGGTGTCGATTTTCCTGGTTTTCAGTTCCAATTTTGCAACTGGGTGTGAGTCCTTGAGCAAGTTATTTGGCTTCTCTGAACCTCAATTTCCACAGCTGTAAAAGAGGAATTATAATATATACAGTGGATTTTGTGAGGATTAAGTGAGAGGATTAAATGCTTGTAACCTGGTACATTTTAAATAAACAATAAAGTAATTGGCTATTATTTTATTTAATTCCTTCGTTTTATGGATACAGAGAAGATAATAACAATAAATATAAGTAATGCCTGGTGTAGCACTTCACCTTATGAAAATATTTTCCCATGCATTTCCTTATCTAATTCTTTTGCTGCCCTACGGAATGGGTTACTATTATTTTGCAGAGCAGGAAACTAAAGTTTAGGCAGATACCATAACCCGTCGAAAATCATGTGAGATAATGGCTATTTCAGGACTCAAATGCAGGTCTTTTGAGTCTCAGAGCAGTGTGCTTTCATCTGAATCAGGCTAACCCTAGGCAGAAGTATTAATAGTCGCTAACGTTCGCTCTGGGTTAAGCACTGGCTGGGCATTTAAATGTGTTATTTCATTTAAACCTCACAACAACTTTATGGTAAAGACAGTATTTGAGTTTCCATTTCAAAAAAGTTAAAATAACAAGCACAAGGGTCACTGAGTTATTAAGCAGTGGAGCCAAGTGTGCACCTAATCAGTTTCATGTTTTATCATTGAACTAAACTGTCTACAGATAGAAGCTATGCAAGAGGACAGTGTCCTAAAAGAGTGTGATCTTCCAATAAGTCATAGCCTGTCTTTATCCAGCACCAGGAGAGGTGTGGGAGAACACGGAATAATAATATGCAAATATCATTACATATAAGCATTGTGCCAGGCACTTTACATGTATTACCTTCATAGCAACCTCAGAAGGTATATGTTACCCCCCCCATTGAAGACATGAAGAAATTATTCCTTGCTTAAAATTACACAGCTAATGGCAGAGCTAAGATTTGAAGCTCTTGACCTTTCTGTAACTGTGACACTGCAGCTTTTAGAGCACAGAGGAACTTAGACATCATTGCTGCCAGTTCTCACCCTCACCTATGAGCAAACTGAGATGGTAAGATCCCATGTTTGTCCTCATAGGTAGAAACTGCAATAAAGGTCAACTTGTCCAACTTCCAGCCCAGTGATCTTTCTGCCTCATCATACAATACAAACATGACCCCTGCCTCAGGGAGCTTATACTCCAGTTGCAGAAACACAAATCATCAGAAAGCAGCACAAGTGAACATGTGTTGGAGACTTCACCCTATGCAGAAGAGGCATGTTTTCTAGAATTTAAAGAGAAGCAGAGTCAGTGAGGACAGGAGAGGCAAGTGGGCAGAGACTTTCTACTTTAATGCACATAAGAATCACTTGGAAGAATCCACTTAAATGCAGATTCCCAAGCTGGAACCCAAAATTTGAAGTCAGCAATGTATATTTTTTAACAAACAGCTCTGACTCTGAAGTATGCGCCAAAATTCACTACTTTGGGAAACAGGAAATTTGTGAGTAGGTTCAAAAGAGCAGTAACAATCAAGACGGGGTATAGACAATAGGAACAGATTAAGGAGCATTTTGTAAACTAGGCAAAACCGTTTCAATTTGTATGATAAATTGGGACATTTTGGAAAAGGGGTGAAGATGAGTAAGAGCTGTGTGAAGAATGGTTTAAACCAGAGAGAACAAGGAATGAGGAGGAAAAGATAGAAAGGCCTGGGTGAGAAAGGGTGTGTTTTAGAGGCGTTTCAAATGAAACCAATAGGAGTGGCAACTGGTCAGATGGAGGGAATAAAGGAGATGGATATAGGAGCACCTGATGGAGGAGGAGTAGCTGGGCCTGGCTGTAGATGCACACAGCTCTATCGAGCTAAAAGTTAATAAATACTATTCTAGTTGTACACCATGACAAAGTTAAAAATTCTTCATGAGACATATAGTCATAAAAGGCATAAAGTGTTCCTTTCAGCACTTCCTACGTGAAAAAGGAAGCCAAACCTCACATTCCTCACAGTGTCCTGAAAAGAACCCTTTTAAAGGACACAAATTAAAAAATGTTGTGCTGATACTTGATCTCACCCAAACCAAGAGGCCCTGGGTTTGGCTCAGAAAAGGGTGATTATTTAACTCTTCTTCGGCAGTTTTCTTCATAATCTTCATTTCTGCCCAAAGAAACAGAAGTGAAAAACTAATGCTGGATATTCAGAAAACTATTTTCCAAAAATTTTAAAATGCTCAAACAGCATTTTAAAAAATCCTTTTTTGCAGGTAGAGGAAAGATGAGGTACTAAAATTGGATATCAAGAACTCCTAGTCTCCAATGAGTAATCTTGTTGAAAAAAAATAAAAAATCAATAAGATGACCGTACAACTCAAACAATTTCTGCTAAACCAGATAAATCTCCAATAACTGTGAGAACTTTCAGATTATTTTTTTTTTTAACTAAAGGGCCCAGGTCTTTGAAGTTTTTTGTTTTTTGTTTTTTTTTTTTCCATTAACACTTGAAAAACAGTACAGGACTCCAAAGTCTAAATACTGTTTAAGATAATTTCAAAAATGAAAAGCTGAGACTTAAAGGCAAACCAACTAAGTGATCATATGCATGTTTTCTTAACTAATCATACACTATAGCTGAGCACTCCAGAGACACAGAAAGTTTGGAGTTTTTTTTAAAAAAAAACAAACATTTTAATTGGATTACAAAGTCCAGTTCACTAGCTAGAACATTAGCAAAAGTCAGTAGATCTGCTTTGTTAATCTACAAACTTTTAAAAATTAACTTTATAAGTGATCATTTTATACATTATGCATGATCATTAATATAATCCAAGTTTTTCAACTTGAGAACTTCAAGTGTTTATAACTTAAAAAGAAAATATAATTTAGCTGCTCTTATTTAGGAAATTTATTTGAGGAATATAACTGAGAACTCTTCTATGAAATGAACTGGTCAATTAGGGTTCACATTAATAGAATTTTCAGTATATTTATTCTAAAATTAATTTATTCATTTAAAATATTTAAATATTTTATTTAAATTGTAGTCATTCTTATTTAACAGTTCGATTTAATTTTTGAGTAAATTAAGCATCTACTATATAATAGCTACTGCTAGGGATTGAAGAAAAGATGGTTGAAATGTGTGGGAAGGTGGGATTATAAAAATGAATAGCTCAGAGTCTAGTGAGAGAGAACTGTGCAAATGGCTAGAATTTAATGTGAGAAATACTGTAATGTATTAACACCCAGTGTTGTAGATACACAGAAATATAAAGGGGAAGATTTCATTTGAAGCTGATCTTAAACAATAAGTAGGAACTAGCTGGGTAAAGGAGAGTAGGGTTCAGGGTAAGGCATTCTTGGCAGGTAACAAGACACGGAAATGCTAAGAGATATGAAATGACATGCTGTTTTGAGAAAACTACAAGTACATCAATGTGGAAAATCAAAGGGAATCTTAGAATGACAGGATCTCAGAGAGGATCTTAGGAATAGGAAAACACAAACTAGCCAGATTGGGAAGGGGGTTACATGACAAAATCCTATAAGAAGGTGGAAGCTCTTGGCAGTTTTTACTAGGGTAATGCCATAAAACAATTGGATCCTAGAAAAAGAACTCCTGTCTGAGTGAAAAAAATAGATTAGAGTGAAAGCATCATTCAGTTTAGTTACAAAGCTAGCGCAGGCATAGACGTAGGCAGGGATGCTGACAAGTGTACAGAGTAGATTAGATATCCAGGAGGTCCACTGAGTAGCACCAGGGAGTGGGAGGAGCTGAGTGAGAATAGGAGCACAATTTCCAGCTTGGTTGCTGAGTGAAAGACTGTTGTGCACCAAATAAGCTGGGGGATAGAGCCTGCCATATATATTATTTTATATCTAAGAATAACTTAAATGCTAACTAAGACATCAAGAGCATATGCTCTTCTCCTGGCCCCCCACTTATTTATTCAGGACTCTGGAAAGTGGATGTGGTGTCAATTTACTGTCTGCCTCATGGCAGAGTATGTCCCACAGCCACTGATGTCACTCAGTGGAGCACAAGGTGGGCAACAAAATGGACTAGAGATTCATAAATTTCTAGGCTATCCATGGTACCTTCCCATCTTTGGTGGATAATTATCCCCAGAAAGAATCCACATTAGGCTTTATTATTGAGGAAGACCCTGGAAGTCAAGGGTTGAGAAGGCAGAGAACTCATGGCCAGGGAAGATGTGATAGAGCATCCGCATGGAAATCCAGTTCTGTGAGAAATTTAATCCCTGAGAAGTTAAATGTTTTCCTGTTATCATCCTCCTAAGATCCTCTCTAAAATCCTGTCATTCTAAGATTCCCTTTGATATTACCACGTTGATGTACTTGTAGTTTCCTCAAAGTAAGTCAGCAGCATTCCTTTCATATCTATTAGCATTTCCTTATAGTTATTTGGAAATGGTTATTGAAGGGATCTCTTCATACTGCCTACCTATGTCATTTTCCTATGCCATTACCCAGAGAGAATATGCAATTTGGTCTGTATATAAAATCAAGTACATAAATAACCAATATCGCAGTTCAAGAAATGGTTTGAAGAGAGGTTCAGAATACAAGTGGTGCTCACAGAAGGGCAAAGAACACCCAGTAGTGAATCAGAAAATATAGAAGTAAGACATGTTGCTTTGAATAATAGTTTCAAATTCAATGAACAGAGGGATTGGAGGGAAAGACCATCCCACTCAGAGAGAACAGCATGTCCAAAGGCCCAGGGAAGAAAAAATATTTTACGGAATTTCAAGTAACAAGGAGGAAGAGGAGTATAAGCAAGGAGAAAGCAGACACAGGAAAAGAGAAGAGCCTGGCAAGGTTAGGGGTGGAGAAATGTGGATGGTAGAAACAAAACGGAAAAAGAAGCCACGTAGTAGATAACCGTGTCCACGAATGCCCTGTGTCCAAGCTTCTCAATCTCTATAATGAAAGAAGAAATGCCTTCCTCTCTCTCTCCATAAGCAATTTGGCATTTTCACTCTGTTCCTACAAGGAGAATAGAAATCTAGATATATAATTATGAATCTGAATGATAATAGCTAATGTTTACGACCTAGGCATTAGAGTCATAAATTACCTCATTTATTTTTGTTTTAGTCTGATCTTATTTGTTACTCAAAAAAATCTTATTTTTGACTGGATTCAGACAGAAGTAGAAGCTCGCTGAGAGAAGAGTCTGCATCTCTTGGCACTCTGTTCCTGGTGCTTCTCTTCAGCCTCTTTCATTCTCTTGGCCGAAAGTTTAGCATATTCTGCAGCCTCTTCCTGATTTTTTTAGTATGCTGCTTCTTCAGAGCAATACGCCACTGTTTGTGCTGCAGGACACATGGAGTAGTAAGACGCTGAATCTTCTGTGCTTCGGTCCTAGGTTTCTTACCTTCTTTGTTGAAGGGCTTTCTTACAACATGCTCACAGACATCATCTTTAGGGAAATTGAAAAGTTTGTGGATTCTGCTAGCTCTTTTGGGCCCCAGGCAACAAGGCACCGTAGTACCAGTCAGTCCAGGAATATCCTTCTCTCAAGTTGAGAACGCTCAGATTGGCATCTACAACGTAACCACTAACAGATTTCGCTTTCTTTCTCTAGTTCTCCTTGGTCTGTAACAGGAATGCCCCTTACTCAGTAGCAGGTGGACACAGCCATGGGTCAAGACACACTGCTTCATAGGGAAACTTTGTTTGTCGTTCCCATCATTTATTCAAACAACGTAGCCCTTCCATTCTTCACCCGGAGCGTCAGCAGCTACTTCTGTGGCCATACGCTTCTCATAAAAAGTAAGAATTTTGCATTCATCAATCACTTAAATGAGTTTCTGGCAGCCAGTGGCTGGGAAGAAGATGTTCAGCTTCATCTTGAAGCTGTTGATGCTGGCCTCCCAAATTATCTCATTTAAATAACACAAAAACTCTATGAGGCAAGTAGTATTATTATTCTTCATTTTAGATGGCAAAGCTAAAGTTTAGTGATGTTAATCCAGTAAACAGGAAAGCCAGCATTCAGATACCAATGCAAAACTAAAGAAAAGGATTTGTTCATGTGCTCTGGATATCTGATCTCTATAAGTGTTCTGAATGAGTCAATTTAGTCAAATCACCAATTTTGCCATTTTTGTAAAAAAAAAAAAAGTAAGTCAACTAAAAATAAACATCCTATTCTACTAGCAGCTGAGAGGAATGCTTTTCTTCCTTTCAATCAATCACAGGTGTCTGACAATCTTCACAATCAGAATCAGTCTAGCATACTACCAAAAAATTCCTGCCTGAGCCCAATGGGCCCCAAGAACCTTAGAGAATCAGATAATCCCTTTACTAAATGGCATCATCAAAAATGTTACTTTTTCCCTCAAAATCAAAATATAAACATTGGGGGAGAATCTATCTTAAATAAAAGCAAGAAATTAATCATAAAAAGAATTTGCTTGAAAGTGTCATAATTTTGCAACGGTTTTACTTTTCTTCCATATGTGTAAGGGAGAAAAATGTGCATGTATAAACATAGGCTGTTTTACCTTCAAGTGACTCCAAGAAAGAGTCATTTTTCAAAACAGAGTATTTATATGTAAAACCTGCATAATAGTAGTAATGACTGTTTTTTGTTTAGTTTTTAAAAAGCAGCCCACCTAAATGAATTCCTACCTGCCAGACAGAATTGGAGTTAGCTAAAGAAAAAGAATACAGGGACAGGATGGGGCGCTAACTAAAATGCCTTTTCCAAATTCTCAAAATGCAACTACATGGACTATTCAAATTAAGCATTGAATATAAGGTTCAGAGGAAAATTCTGTTACAGAAGCAGTAGACAAAGAGACAAGAAGTGATACCAACTGCTTCCCTTCTTTTTGTACATTTTCCACCTTGAATCCCAAAGAACAACGTTCCAAACCTCTTATTCTTTCCTGGCTCTACGGTGCCTCTGAAATCAGTGATCCTGATAAATAAAATCCCATGAGGTCTGAAAGCAGTAGTTTCATGGACAACATTTAAATTGTTTCCATGTGCCTTCTGCTTGCGCAGGATCAATCATCATGATTGGTGTATTATAACTTGCCCTGACTAAATTGGTCTCTCTCCTGTTGTTTTCTTTTCCCCAAGGAACTCAATTTTCCAGCAAAGAGCCTTCTGTTTCCCTCTATTTTTTTTAATTTTCATATTAACTATAATACAAAAGACTAAATGAAAATTCAGACTCAGAGATTCTTGTTTTTAACCCACTGGCAGGCATCTATTCCAGTGAAATGTTCATTTAACATACTTTATTTTACATTTCCATTTATTTTTGTATTAATTTTCAAGTCCAATTTTTGGATTAATAAGGCTCTCAGTATTAATGAGAAAATCATTTAGAGTACAATGGAATTTCAGTCAAGAAAATATTGTTCTATTTTTGATACATTTTTTATCTTTCAGATGCTGTTTTTTAAAAATAATTAAAAGAAAAGTAAACTTTAGAACAAGGTGCACTTTTTAATATATTTCATATAGGACATGAAAAAGGAAGAATGTGTCATTTATATCCCTGTTCTGAAGCATGCCTTTCCTCTAATTTCCATAAAATATTGGAGAATTGTTGGTGTCAGCTATATCAACTAGCTCTTGATCCTATACAGTATTGCACACATAGATTTTTGGTTTTGTTCTATAATTTTCCTTGATACGGTGTACATTGCTAAAAGGCAATGACCATGTCTCTCTAGAGTAATGATTTGTTCATGTGCTCTAGATATCTGATCTCTATAAGTGTTCTGAATAAGTCAGATTAATAGCAAAATACATATGTGATCAATGCCCCAGAATCTCTATAAGTGAAAGTAACTATAAACAAGCAATTTGAAAGTAGTAAGATCCTCATCCTTTTCAAAAGTATCTATATTTCCACCATTTTTTAGAATGCCATAAAGGCCACGTTATTAAAACCAAGAGAGAACATAAATGTACATGAGAGAGGTCACATTCTGGCCCTTCTCAAACTTTTCCACAGAGGCATCACTGGTCAGGACGAAACTGAAGAGTGAATACATACACCCTGGAGTTGGAGGGCATCTCCCAAAGCAACCCATCTCCCATCTGAAATTTCTTTGAAGTCTTCTAATATTGCTTTAACATGAATGCAAATTGTGCCTCCTGCTCCCCAATATATCTGTTTGATTTAATATGAAAATTAAGTTGCTTATCTGGGTTAAAACTGACAGATGAAGAAAGTGTGGCTTGGAACTCCTGCACTCCCTTGAAGACCTACCAAGGCATGCTAACCTTTAAACTGCTAATATTCATTAGCAAGATGCCAAATAGATGCATTGGCTACTTGCAATTGATTCCTCATTTTTTGGAAAGATTGAGTGAAGACAGAGATTCAGAGACTGGAGGAGAAGCCAGCAGCGAAGGAAAGCAAGCTTCAACTCTAATGATACTTTGATGCTCCTGGGAGGAAAGGAATGCCACAAGAAAGAGATAAACTGCAGAAGGAAGGCTTGCAGGGAACCACAATCAAATTTACCTCACAATTTGCCTAAGGCCAAAGAAAGAGGCTTAATAGAAAATCTGCTGATTTAATTTGGTGATTAAAAAAAATGCTCTCAAAAAATGAGTGAAAAAAACGCAAGTAATTAAAACTATTCTTTTAGCAATAAAGGAGAGAGAACTCATTCATTTGCACATTTTAAAAGCATAAAACTAAAAAATGTTGGTTTCTCGTATATTAAAAATAAAGTTATACAGTAAATCTCATCTTAATAAGACATCTCCAATTATATGATTCAGCAGAGTGTAGGCTGTAATTGTTTTAATGACATTTTAAATGATGAACAAAAGAAAAAAATTATGAAGGGCTAATGACATACAATGAAGCAATATGCCATCATTCTTTAGGATATAAATATTATTCCAGAGAAAGTCTTAGTTTTTATTAAAATTAAATGAGAAACACACAATATTTGTACTAAAGTCATACTATAGTGCTATGTTCAAGGGAATAAAAATTTGAATGTAAATGTGATCCCAAAGCCAGGTCTCTTTTGGTCAGGGATATACAATATCATGTTTTCCTGAAATTCATACCTTTATATCATTAAATTATATCTTATTAAAACATTGAAAAGTATCAGTGCGTCCTGAGAATATGCATTCTGGATGCCTTTTAACAACACATGAAACTGCTAAAATTCTAAACCCATATTCAATCAAAGCAATCAAAGTTATCTTGTTTCTTTGCCTCAACCTAGTGTATATAGAATTAGTTGATTGTTTTTCCAAGCTCTTTATGGTGGAAGTTTCACATGTGTGAAAAAGATGAACTCTATGTACCTACTCATCACTCAGCTTTATCAATTTTTCACCAATCATGTTCCTTTTATTGTTTTATTCTTTGCTGGAATATTTTATAGCAAATTCCAGACATCGTGTCATTTTACCCAAAAATATTTCAATGTTCATATCTAATCGATTTTATACAATCTTCATTGCCATTATAAAACAATTTCTTCATGTCATAGTTGATTATATTTACTATTAAATTCAACAGTTATATTTTAATAAATAGGGTAGATATAATTTAGTATTTCTATATTATTATGTAAGTGTAAATATTTAGTTTGGCCATACATGTATTTTCCAGGTCTAATGTTTTAATTAAGTTAACTGGTAAATTCAGTTAAAAACAATGTTAAAGGGATTTTTTTTTCTTTTGCTTGTTTTTGCTATATTAACCAGTCAAATCAGTTAAACTATCTGTGGCTACAGACCTCATCTTAAATATAAGCATCTGGGTGTATACACACTGGGCCAAATCAACCACATCATAGTCAACTTTTGTAGATGCCACATTATGTAATCACAAGAATAGATGATTAGTATTAAAGCAAATAGATTATGCTGAGATTACTCCAAAGCAATTAAAACAGAGAGGCAGTAAGGGAGTGGAAGGAGAGCTTTGGAATTCACACAAATATAGGTTCTAATTCCTACTCTGCTACTTAATGCCTTTGTTAACTTCAACTAGTTAGCTAAGAGCCTGAGTCTCAAAACTACACCTGAAGCACAGAGATAAAAATACCATTGTAACTATTGTGAAACATATAAATTCTTACACGAATTATAAAACATCTGCCATATGATAGGCACTCAAAATTTCTTCTTTGAAAACTCCTTAATCAATATCCAACAATGAGATGGAAGCAACCTAAAAAATCACCCTCAGTTCACATGTCTCTTAAACGTTTTGTATAATATTTCAAACACTGCCTCATACGATCAGCAATAATAGACCATCGTCATTCAAAAAATACAATCTTTTTGCTTTTTCATTAGACATATGTAAGAATTTACTTGTTTCTCTTATGTTAGGCAATATGGTAAAGAAAGATAACCAGCAATCTAAACTTTACTTGGAACAAATTACCATGAAATAAATCATCTCAGTCATATTTTTCTCAGATAAGTAGCTCAATGAGATATGTCTTTGGGGGTTAAGAACTTTACAAAGCTGTTATTATTGTTTTAAAGTTTACAGGTGAAGCAACAAAGGCTCAAGGACACAAAAAGTTTCAGAATAAAAATTTAGGACACATTGTTGTTTGAAACTAAATGCATTCCAATAACTTATCCTTTATTTAGATTTAAGGATGTGTATGAAAAGCATTCTATTGCCCCAGAAAAGGAGGAAAAAGTCAGTAACACGTATTTAGACATTGTATCATTTTCTACATTATTCTGGAATATCAACATTAAGTCATGATGTATCTATCCAGCAATAACCTTGTGAAAAATAAAATACATACATACACACAAAACCCACCTGTTCCAATAATTCCACTGTGCTTTTGCGGCTCCCTGAAACTCTCTTTGTTGATGAAGATGCTTTGTAATGCAGCAAGGTTGAGGGTTATTGATCTATAAAAGTCTTTATGATTCAGCTGCTGTGGAACTGTCTACAATACCCAGGCCTCAAGGGTGTGATTTTTCCAGTGATGCCAGGTTGATTCTTGGAAATTTACATGCTGCTATCTGTTTGACAATAAATTGCTCTGGAAACTCTTATGTGATACACATTCAGGACTCTTTATAATAACAAGCTGTATATCTTGATGGCCAATTTGTCTTTTTTTTTTTCTTTTGAAAACTGGTCTTAATCTACTGCAGAGGTCACTTATGAACAGAATGCATTGCCTGCATTGGTTGTGTGAAGTAAGCACATTCTCTTAGCTTCAGATTTCACCCCAAAGTACTACATTGCTTTGTGCTGCTTACCTGAGAAACTGACAAGATTCAGTTTTCAACAATTTCTTTTTATATGAGAAAACATACTTAAAAGGTAGTCATTAAGGGCACAAGCTCCAAAGCCAGACCACCAGGGTTGAATTCTTGGCTCTGCCATTTACTGGCTCTGTGATCTTGGGCAAGCTGCATAATCTCCAGCTTTAGGTTCCTTAGATGTGAGATAAGAAAACATGTAAAACATGTGGAATCATTTCACAGAATTTTTGTGAGGATAAAATGAGTTAAGAACATTGAAAATTCTTGAAAACCACCTGGTACACAGTAAGTTCTCAATAAATATGAATCATTGTTATTATTAACATACATAAAAGATCTATCACAATTAATATTTGAATGCCTACTTCTTGCCAAGCACAGTGTGTCAGTTACGTTCAAAATATTTTAAACAATTTTCATAGTAATATTTAAATATACATCTTTATCCTTGTTTTGCTAAAGAGTAAACTAAAACCCAGAGAGGTTATGTAAATTGCCTAAACAAACAGAGTTGACAGAATGCTGAGCTGGGAATTGAGTTAAGGAACAAGGATTATAACTGCTCCATGGTGACCTTACATTTGGCCCTCCAGGAGTCTGCTGATGGGTATACAATGCATTCATATTATTATAAAAGTTTGACATTTTTAAAAAGACATTTTCTACGTTAGTTAACATAAATATTTTAGTTATTTTTAAATGCAGTTACAATAATTGCTAATTATTCTGATGATAGAAACATTTAATAAACTTTTGTAATTTTCCTTGTAGAAGCCCAAAGATGGATGGGCCACAGAAGTGTCTCCTGGAAGGGGAAAAAGCCCATGGATCAATGAGTTTAAATGAGTTTAAAAGCTCATGGATCAATGAGTTTAAAGTCAACCTCTTGCCTTGTTAGCTCCAAGACTAACTGATACTCTTAGAATATGCCATTCCTTCTACCTACATGTGCCACCCGCTCCCATACCTTCTCCATGGCAGGCTCTTTTTCATTCTCAAGCTACAAGCTTAAGTTTTTTCCTCTCAGAGGAGTCTCCTATGTCTAACCTATATGATCATCTCTATTGTTATTTACATCACCACTCTGTTCATGTTGTTTG
This sequence comes from Homo sapiens, assembly GCF_000001405.40. Classification (NCBI taxonomy): domain Eukaryota; kingdom Metazoa; phylum Chordata; class Mammalia; order Primates; family Hominidae; genus Homo; species Homo sapiens. The sequence continues at coordinate 91,458 of NW_003315941.1, read as the reverse complement.
AAGCCCTTTTCATAATCGTCAATTTAATATGTTTACTTGCTTGTTGAATACATCCCTGTTTATAAGATTCATGAGAAAATGGACTATAGTAAATATTCAATAAATAAATGCTAAATAAAAAGTGAATGAATGACCCACAAATATACAGATTTCATCTCACATTTTTCAATTTTTCTGGTCTTAAAAAGATAGCTTCTAGTATCCCAAATGTAATCCTTTATTCATGGAAATCTTTGTTTTTTAGCTGTATCACTAAAGCTTTTTAAAAAATCATAATACTCTTAGATATACAGCATTATACATCACTTAGAAAATTAACGAAACCCATCAATTAACCTTCTTTTACATACTTAATTTCAAACAATTGTATTCTTTTTCCTCTATTAATGTCAAATATACATTATGAAGTAGACATTGCAAAGTATGCATTGCAAAATGAGGACAAAAATACAACTGAATTCATAGAGTTAAAGGGATAATTAAGTCATATACATGTTAAGCACTTAGCGGAATGCCAGTACATGGTTAGTCCTCCTGTAATTTATTGGTTTTTTTTAATAAATATAACAAAGATGGTTTTTTATTATTTTAGCATTGCCATTGGTTGGTATAGTATAATAATGATGAAAAATCATCAATACTACTTAATACAATGTTTTAAATAGAAGAGGTAGTTCATAAACATTCATTGTTGCTCACAATAGGGGTGTCTCAGTTTAAGAAAATGTTAATACTAAAATTCAATAGGTCAATTATTTCCATCAGAAAAAGATTATTCATTTTATGAATCATTATACCTGTTTTTTTGTTTTATAATAGTAGCTTTCACAGTGGGATTCAACTCTTTCTATAGAACAATGACAAGTGGACAGAAACATCAGTGCTAGTACTTGGGGGGAGTGGAAAGAAGGCATCATGAAAGAGCAGCCACATAACATTTTATAAAGAGTTATGTGTCCTTTCAAGTAGATAAAACATCACATAAATTATAATACAAATGAACAGAAAATGTGTTTCAATGTTCCAAACTTTAATTTATATCAGCTTTTCGAGAACATATCAATTTAATCAAATAGCACGACACCTGCCATAGAAAGAATCAATATGATATGGGAGACGAAGGGCTGTTTTGCTGACGTGAGCCACAGGAAGTGATAAAACCATTAGTTCTTAGTGAAGCACCTAATGTCCCCTCAGATAATATAAAGAAGGTCTTTAAACAAATAGTGGTTTGGGGCCAGGCGGCATGGCTCACGTCTGTAATCCCAGCACTTTGCAAGGCCGACTTGGGTGGATCACTTGAGGTCAGGAGTTCGAGAACAGCCTGGCCAACATGGTGAAACCCTGTCTGTACTAAAATACAAAAATTAGCTGGGTGTGGTGGTGTGCACCTCTAATCCCAGCTACTTGGGAGTCTGAGGCAGGAGAATCACTTGAACCCAGGAGACGGAGGTTGCAGTGAGCTGAGTTGACACCACTGCACTCCAGCCTGGGCAACAGAGCAAGACTCTATCTCAAAAAAAAAAAAAAAAAGGAATAAAAGGGTGTTTGGGCAGGAAGCAGTAAACAAGCACTTCTTTTATTGTATAATCTTAACATTAATAGCAGCGTTCATTTACTCTTCAGGTATGTTGCAGAGCAAGGGTTGGCAAACCTTTCTATAAAGAGTCAGAAAATATTTTAGGCTTTGGGCCATAGAGTCTCACCCTCAACTACTCAATCCCACCATTGTAATGCAAAAGTAGCCATAGTTGTCACATATATGAAAAAGCATGACTGTGATCCAATAAGACTTCATCTACATAAACAGGTAGTGGACCAGAATTGGCCTGCACACTGGTAGTTTTCTGACTTCTGATGTAGGGCACTATCAAAACTAATGTTTTGGGAGTAACTGCCATATGTCTAGTCCAGTGGAATCTCTTTTACTTCCAAAATTCTTTTTGTTACTTTACCTTCTAATAGCTTTCCTCACAGGTTGTTGTGAAGATTAAATGAGAAAATCTATGTAAAGTGCCTGAGACAAAGTTTCCAAAACAATTTAGCTCAAATACATAAGCATAGACTCTAAAGCTAGATTGCCTATGTTGAAATACTAGCTCTACCCTTTATTAGCTATGTGGTCTTGTACATGTTATTTAATTTCCCTGTACAGTAAATCCTCCCTTAATGTCATCATCCATAGGTTCTCAGAAACTAACTTTAAGCAAAACATTTTATCACAGGTTATTGACATAAGAAAGAGATAAGTTCCTATATTTCTGGTCACAAAACATCACTAAACTTCTAAATAAAGACCTTAAACACTTCTAGTATTAAACATTGAAATAAATGTGAGTAATACACACATTTAAGAAAGATTAACAAAAACAAGTATGATAAGTGTTTACCCACTTATTCCAGTTCAGGCCTTGGATGGCTGGAGCCTCTCCTAGCACCTAGGGGAGCAAGTCTGGGACCACCCTGGTCAGGACACCATTCCATCATAGGGCACACTCACACACACCCACACTCACTCACACCGGGGCCACGCAGATGCAATTCACCTAATGCGCATGCCTCTGGGATGTGGAAGGAATCCAGAGTGCCTGGAGGTAACTCAAGCAGACAGAGAGAGAATGTGCAAACTCTACACACACAGTGGCCCCTGCCAGAGTGAAGTTTTTTTTTCCTCATCAGTGTTAAAATGAAATAATGTTGAAAGAAACTATGTTATTCAAGGATCTGCTGTACTTCAACCTTTCGCACAGTGAAATGAGATAATAACAACACTTATAGGTTACCGAAGGAAGATGAAATGAGTAGAAGTATATAAAGTGTTTAGAACAGTGCCTAGCATACACTAAGCACTATATGAATGTCAACTATTGTTATTGTACTGTTATTGTTGCAGTTTCATAACTCAGTTAACTTGGTTCTCTCTATTTAACTGAAAATCAGAACGAGCTACATTATAAATGTGGTATAAAAAATTAATGGTAGGAGAGCTAAGAAAGAAAGAGACCATGATGTGCTACAGTTAGGTTCTGGAGGTCAAAGTGGACAACTCAGTTGGGGTCAAATGGTGTAGAATGTTAAATGATATGAGAAGGATGTTGGACTTCATCTCCAAAGAAAAGAGGAATCGCCTAAGGAAATTGCCAGTTTGGATCTAAATCTGATTAATGATAAATAACGGGATGGTGAGGCAAACATGAATTTTAAAGACCATGTCCGGTAGATTTAAGGAAATAAAAATTAAAAAGCACAGGGCCCCAGAGCCTTATGCTCTGGAAATATCATGAGTGCAACGCTGCCTATGTTGCTTAGATTTATGCACATGGAACCTGAGCAGTTTCCCCGAAGGTTCGCATTATCCTCTAGTTGACCTGCAACAGTGGGAGGGGTGCAGAAAGGAAGGGCCCAAAGCCAAGAACAAGTTTGTCCCAGAAATAGAAGGATTGTGACAAGAAGCTAAAGCCAAAAGCAACTCATTTTCTCACACAAGATTGAGGAAGAAGAAGAAAGCCTAGTACAGAGACCAAAGCCATTGTAGCAAAAGAAAAGAGTGAACAAGAAGGAATAAAAACATTTAGATCAATAGACAAACAGCAAAAGGGCCATCTGAGCAGAAGTCTGTATTTCACTATATTTCACTACAGTAGCACATGATAATACAGGACTATGTTTTTAAATACAACCTACCTGTAGATTAATATGGTAGAATCAGCAGAAGGCCAAAATGCACTAGAACTCTGGGTGACCAAGAGACACCATAGAAATAGCTGGCCTTGGGGTTCAGGGACATGTACAAATCTAGGACAGATCTGGTTTATCTAGAACAGTGTTGTCTAATTGAGATGTAATGTAATCCATATGTGTAATTTCAAATTTTCTAGTAGTCACATTTTTTAAAGTAAAAAAAAGTGAAATAAAATTTAGGAATGTATTTCATTTAACCCAATGTATCCAAAATACTATCATTTCAACATGCAATCAATGTTTTAAAAATGAGATATGTTACATTATTTTCTTTTTACTAAGTCTTCACAATCCAGTTGACACATATAGCACATCTCAATTCTGGTGATGAATTTTCACTGGTAATACTGGCCTTTATTTAGATTTATAAAATTTACAGATGGAAAAGTAGATTTATGAACCTAAGTTGCTCCAAACGTATGTAAAAGTTTTCTAATAATTGAATTGAATTTTCATTTTTAAATTGAATTTTAATTAATGGAATCAAATGAAATTAAATTTCTGTTCCTCAGTCACACTAGTCACATGTTTTATGTTCCTTAGCCACATGTCGCATGTGACAAATGGCTAACATATTGGACAGCTCAGAAAGCTAGAACGTGGTAGGGTTAGTCCTGAAGGAGGGACACCAATAATCGAATGTAAAAAAGGTGCTTAAGAGACTGAATGCTGGATGTCCTTAGGGTTTAGAGCAGTGTTCTTAACCCACTGAGTTCTACCATATTTAACTGTATCTATATCACAGTATTTAGAATTTTATTATGTTAATACTGCACTCAAGTCATAATTATATCATAGTTGAGGACAAAAACTATATTTTATAATAATTTATGTATTTTTATAATATATAAAAAACTATATTTTATGATAATTATTTTTTAATCTTTATAATGCTTACCACATTGTAAGAACATAGTGATCATTAAACAGTTGATCAATTGGTTGACATAACTGATTACACTGTAGTTCTTCATAAACACATTTACATACTGAAAAGCCACAGGTTATTTTGATCAGTGCCTCAGTGGAAAGGCTTATATGAAAGAAAGAAACAATGGCTAAGATGAAGAGGGAAGAATTTCTAGACATGGAGAATAGAATACAATGGCTTAAAAATAAGCTAACTGGAGGGACAGTGAGGTAAGCGGAGTAGGAATTAGGTGCCTTTTGGGTAGAATAAAGGATATAAGCTAGAATGTAGCCCAGAGGGCAATCTATAGTTTTGAGAAACAGTAGAAGGTCCTGAGCCACAAAATTAAAGTAGGGACTTAATATGAGGGAAGAGCCACTGCATGTGTATAAAAGTAAAAGAAACAGCATATTATAAAATTGCACTCAAAGACAATTCTTGCTGTGATGTATCTGATTATGGAAAGGTAAAGACAGGCTAGGTACTGTTATTTGTACCTATGGAAATGGATAGGGAGGGGGCAAATCAGAAGATGCTGCAGTTATCGCTATAAAAAACTGGCCATAGAATAACAGAATGATAGAGCACTCATTTAAAAGTTCATAGAATTTCCAAATGTGGTTAAATTTTAGCCAGAGAAAACTTTAAACACTGTATAAAACTGGCTCCAAAAGTTATATGTGAGGTCCTCTACCCAACTGCACATGTGGCTTAAAATGCCTGGAGTTATTCATACAAAAGCAGGTAGCTTATTTAAACATCTATTTTTCATATATCAACAGCTTTTCCCAGTGAAGGAAATGGGGGCAGTGCGGTTCTAGGACCTTCTAACCCCTCCAAAGTGAATGTTGTTTGACAGTCTGCAAATGATTTAATAGTCAGACAGACAGGGCTTATAAAACCAGTAATTCCCATCTCAATATCTTTTTGAAATATAAACACATGTGATGAATTGTGTGTGGATAGATTAACTTTCTGAGCAACTCTAATGAGTAGAGAATCAAGAAATAACAGGGCAGAGTATCTGTCTTGTATTAAACTACGATCATTTTTTTAAACTTTCAACCCACTATTGAATCTAATTTATTTTTCTAAGAGCAAGCAGTGCCTGTCCTGTATAACTGCAATGGGCCCAGTGAGCTCTAGCACGTGGACATTGGTTTTCCACCTTTGTAGGAGAGAGGAGAGCTGCATGACTCAAGCAAAATGTTCACCCGGAGCTCCCTTTTCTGACTGCTGTGACTCAGTGAAGCCAAATCTCAGCTTAATGGCAACATAAGCCAAGTTGGCCTTCAGGATATCTATCAACCTTTGGATGCCCTTCAACTCCAGCTCCTAGTTACAAAGTTTTTAGGGTTCTAAGTCACTCCCTTACTGATCAATGCCCTCTCTAATAATCCATACACCAGACCCTATTAACATCACAATTTACCATTTTTGTTTATCAATCTCTTCAGTCTCACATAAGCTAATCCTTGCTAATAGGCATATTGGCTTGTTAGTTTTTACTAATCCTGGACAAGATAATGTCTTAAATAGATAAACATGTACCAAGACCTTTAAATGATCCCTAATAGGGGATTATAGGTGACTGCAGCAAGCCAATGAAAAGACAAATTTGAGGAGTGGGTTCCTTGGTATTCTTCAAATAATATTTATTTGAAAAACGTCTTCTCCAATTATATGTAGGAATATCTTTAGCCAAATCCCGATGCACATCTCCTACATAATTTATCTATACAAAAAATATGTACCGAATTTAAAAAAATGTGTAGTGGACACTGTCCTAGATGTTGACAATACAAAGGTCAATATGATTGGTATTCTCAAGAAAGTCACAATCAAGCATGGTAAACAAACATATCAAATAGTAATTGCAATATAATAAGTCATAATGAGCAAAATCTGGTAATGACACAAAGAAGGGAAAAATCACTTTCTGGAAGATCAGTGAAAGGTTTTCTAGTGGGAAGTGAAAATTGGGCTGGGGGCAGAGAGACAGAGATAGAGAGAGAGAGAGAGAGAGAGAGAGAGAGAGAGATGAGAAGCATGAAAAACAGAGAGAAAGGGAGAGAGACTGGTATTGACTGAGATTCCCGGGAGACTTTTGCTGGCCAAATAAAATTGGGGTAAGGGAGCAGAGAAGATAGCGATTAAAGTTATTCCCCCTACCCCCTAAGGGAATATTGTTTTAGAAGGATGAAAAGGATAACTAAAAGAGAGAAAGTAGAATTTTCTGAAAGAATTTGAAATGAATTTACATCTAACCCCAATGGGTCTAGTTATAAAGTAACCTTATTTCCTTCTTGGTCTCGAAATATCCAATTACTGGAGTTGCCTTAAGAAGAAATTGCATGTCTTTTTTTTTTTTTAATACATAGATGGAAAATACTTTGTAACTCTAACAATTATTAAGTTAAAATTACCTTTGGTGAAATAGTATTAAATACAAAGAGCACATTAAGATCATTTTTTATATTCTCTTGTAATAAAATAGCAGTTTGCAATTAGTGAGCACTCATGTACCAGACACTATTTAAGCAGTAAATGTATATTAATTTGCTTAATCTTCACAAGTACATATGAGGTAGCTATTATTAGGATATCAATTTTACAGATAAAGGCACAGATAGGTACAGTGACATGTTCAAGATCACACAGCAGGGAAGTGGTACAGCTAGGATTCAAACCCAGACTGTCTGTTTCCTGAGTCCAAGTTCTTAATTACCACACATATTATTTCTTATAATGATGGTAACAGAATTGCAAAATGTACTAGTTCTAACAAAACAAACGGAAAATCGGAACAGAATATTTTAAAGAGTTACATTCTCCAGTGGTCATGTGGATCGTCATGACTTGTCCCATGTTGCTATATATATCTATACATATTTTGTGTATAGATACATTATGTAGGAAATGTGCATCGGGATTTGGCTAAAGATATTCCTAGATATAATTGGAGAAGATGTTTTTCAAATATTATTTGAAGGTCTACTAAGATTGCTTTAGTTTATAAAGACTATGGTGGAAATGAACAATGGAGTTATATTTAAGAGACTATGACTAAACTCTGAAAATATCTCATAAGGCATTTATTTGTGTTACCATTTTGTCCTGGTAGATAAATAAAAACTTAAACCAATCTAGCCATGAAATAGTGATCCTCCCGAGGGTGACATAGACAGGGCCTCTCCCTATTTAAGTAAATGCTGACAGCAGAACCTGCACTAATAGGAGCCAGATGGCTTAGAAGAACACTTCTCTGCTCCAAAACAGAAAACACTTCCATGAAACTTGAGGCTTGTGCTCCACCCCAGCTCTATCTGGCAAGTGTCCGTGAGCACACGTGTATATGTAATGTGTTATGTATGCATGGTTACAGAACAATATCCCAAAAAGGACAAAAAGAGTTTACCAAAAGTGGTTTACAACTTATCTTTTATCTAGCACATGAAAATTGTCCTGCCTTTAGTTACATGAAGAGTCCTCACTGCCCTACTTTCTGGGAGAGGAGTGAAGAAATCAAGTGTTACATGTGCCTAACTGAGAGATATTTTTATTTCTGAAAGAAATAAGTCAAAATGCGCCAAACTTCCTTCTTTAGTAGTAAGGAAGAAAATTTCCTTGTCAGCAAAAAAGAAAAAAAGGACATGACCACAATTTGCTCACAGATATCTAGCCAATAAATATGAAAAGGAATTATTTAAAGCCAGTAGAATGTAGTCCATTCCCTCAATTAAAAGGCCCCAATTATTTTCCAAAGCCAATATTCTACTTGGATGCAAAGAAAGCTAAGGTGGAAATCAAAAGAACTGGACATTAATCTCAGTTCTCCCTTCCCTGAATCACTCCACCTTTTTTTCTTCAGCTTCATCTTTTGATAACTGAGGGTAATAATGCCTCATAGGATCATAGTGGAGATAATAAAATAATAAACATAAAATAAACTTTGGTGCTTTGGCTATTGATAGCTGATATGAAAACAATTTAAATATTAACAATGCTATAGAAATCATATTCTTTCTTCAGCTCATAGTTTTAGCAGAAAAGACTTATTCCACTTACTATATAATAATTAAGCTGTTATTGTATCAAAGTAAATAAAAGAGTATTCAGGAAAAAAAAAAAGTTGCCCTACTAAAACTTGTTATTTAAAATGTGTAAAATGTGGGCCATAATATAGAACAAAAATAGAGGAAAATGTGCTTGATGGTCAGTAAGTAAAGATTTGTAGAGGAGGGAAGTTACTTTGGTAGAAAAGCAAGAAGTTTATTATTCCATGGCCACACATTTGTTTTACGTACTGGAAAGCCACAGACACAATCTAAGCAGCTGTAGGAGCCCATCATGTTGATTTAATTAGCTTTAAAGATGTGTTCTATGATCTCTATTTGTACAATTGTGGAAGTTTACTCAGATGAATGGCAAAAAGCGCAATTACACATGCTGCTCTAATTCTACAAAACTGAAACTGGTAAAACTGAAGTGGAGGAAAACACTCTTTCTGTGACTATCAACCATCTTCTTTCTTTCCCTTTAATAGTTTTAGAAAAAAGGGTCTCATTGATAGCAACAACAATAATTAGTGAGTGAGAGTGACTTCCACTACCATGGCTGGCTCAAGACTAACTTGTTGTTATGAACATTATTTAACCAAATCTATCCAATTAAGTATGGAGTTATCAGCATCAATTTAGATGTGACATTTTGCTAACTCACCAGAAAGAACTGCTGATCATTTGTTTCTTAAACATGAACTAAAGAAATCTTTGTGTTGTTAAAAACACGATCCACAAAGCCATATTGAGAGTCTTTTCTTTTTGGCCAACACCAGCTTATCTCTTACCGAATTTGTCCTTTTATTTGGAACTATGTTTGGAATTTAAATACTGTAATGATCACCCTTTTGAATTGGCTACTGCCTCCACAAGTCAGATACCAATGATGGAGCATGTATATTTGGTATTTGGAAAAACCATCTATCTCTATTAGCTGTATACATTTTTCCTAAATGCAGCCCAACATTATAGATATTTTTTCTCCTTAATTTTATTCCAGAAGGTGAGGAGGACAGACACAGGTATACATATTTTTAAAGAACATTTTTAGCCGGGTGCTGTGGCTCATGCCTGTAATCCCAGCACTTTGGGAGGCTGAGGCCGGGTGGATCACTTGAGGTCAGGAGTTCGAGACCAGCCTGACCAACATGGTGAAATCCCGTCTCTACTAAAAATACAAAAATTAGCCAGGAGTGGTGGCGTGTGCCTGTAATCTCAGCTACTCACGAGGCTGAGGCAGGAGAATCTCTTCAATCTGGGAGGCAGAGGTTGCAGTGAGCTGAGATGGCGCCACTGCCCTCCAGCCTGGGTGACAGAGCGAGACTCCGTCTCAAAAAATAAATAAATAAAAATAAATAAATAAATAAACCTTGGGGGAAAAAAAAAACATTTTTGCATTGTGCTCTTCTTTACTGCCAATTCTGACACATCTTTCTTCATGCTTACTCCTTACCCAGATGCTTTTTGTACCAATTTTAGGTCTAAAACAAATACATACATAAAGTGAAGGTATGCCAATGGAAAATTTATTGACAAATTCAAAAATTTGAAAAATTAAGCTAGTCGTGGTGGCTTGCACTTGTAATCCCAGTTACTCAGGAGGCTGAGGCAGGAGGATTGCTTGAGGTCAGGAGTTCTAGACTAGCTTAGACAACATAGTGAGATTGTCTCTAAAAAAATGTAAAATAAATAAATAAAATTTGAAAATTTCACAAGATGAGTAAAAGGATACGGATCATAGTGAATCCGCCTTATTGATCTCAAACTTCTTCAAGAAGAATCTATGTGTGCAAAGGCCTCACCAGAAAACACAGCTGCTAGTATAGAATGCATTCCAAGATGACCTCTTGGAGGTTTCAAGTATGAGGCACTTCGATGATCTCTAAGAAATCACATATTGGGATATATTGGGAAATTCAGGAATGAGTTCACTCCTCATAAACGTTTGAATCTATTCTTCATTTGAAAATCAAAATGACATAAAAACTGGTTTAAAATATTTTAGAAATTATACAGAGGCTGAGTGAAAACGAACTCTCACTTTGCAAACATCCCCAGGGGAGGTCTCCATTGTCAGAACATGCTCCCTACCTAGACAAGTCACTTCAGCTTCTGAAGATTGACACGTGCCTCTCACAGCACTTTTCCAACTCAAGGATGTTCACAAAGGGTGGAGCTATGCAGATCACATTTGCCTCATTGTGTTTCCTTCAGAAAAAAAAAAATCAGAAAGAAAAAATCATAAACGTTGATGTCTGTAGCTCTCTGAAGTCATAATATTCTATAAAATTTCTTGCATGAAGCTTACTTGATACTTTTATGCCAATCATCCAATTTAAGTCAGAGGAATAAACTGTCTTTGTGAGAAAACTAAAAAGAAAAATCTATTTTGAACTTCACATTCCTTAATTTTTAGTCAAAGATTCCCAAAAGACTTAATACTCTCGCAAGCCAGTTTAAAAATGATCTAAAATCCCAAATAATTCATTCTTATAATATTAAGAATTGAGATAAGCATTATGCATTTCTTTACAAAGGAGCTATTGAGATTCTCCATATCCATCATAAATTTGAAAAATTTAATATTATATCAAAACAACATTTAACTTGCTAACTTTAATTCTAAAAATTTATCTAAATGAAATCATATGGTACACTACTCCAGTATATATAGTATCTACTTTACCTTGCCCGGTTTTATTGCCTTAGCACAATTAACTCAGAATCACCCATGTTCATAAATGTTCTTGTATTCATCAATAGTTCATACTGTTATATTGCTGAGTAGTATTATATAAATATACTACAATTTGTTTATCCATTTACCTATTGGTGAACATTCAGGTTGTTTCTAGTTTGTTCTCATTACAGATAAAGCCGGTAAAAAAAAAAAAAAAAAAAAAAACCCTCATGTAGACATTTGGACACATGATTTCTTTTCTGTGGGGTAAATTCCTAGGAGTGGAATGGCTGCATTTCACGGTAGCTATATACTTTAAATTTCTATGAAACTGCCAAATTGTTTTCCAAAGTGAATTCTTACTACATCGTGGTCGATACTTAGTAAGTTCCGTCTTTTTAACTTTAGCCATTCTAATAGGCTCATACTGTAATCTTATTGTGATTTTTATTTATATTTCACTAAGGACTAATAATATCCAGAGTCCTTGAATCCGTTTATTTGCCATCTGTATTATCTTCTTTAGTGAAGTGTTTGTTTAAATGATTTCCTCTTTTTATTGAATTTTTTTCTTGTTATTAAATTTTGAGTTTTAAAATATATTCTGAATACAAGTCCTTTATGAAAAATATGATTTGTAAACATGTTCTGCCAGGCTGTAGCTTGCCTTTTCATTCATTTTTTAACCGTGTCAAAGACCAGAAGTTTTAAATGTTTATGAAGTCCAATTTCTTAACATTTTCTTGTGTAGATTTTGCTTTAAGTGCTTTACCTAATACATGTTTGCTCAATTAAAAGCTACAAAAATTTTCTCCTATGCTTTCTTTTAGCAGGTTTATAGTTGTAGGTTTTCCATTTAAAATTATAATCCTTTTTTTTTTTGGTGCGTGGTATGGATTAAAATTGTTTTGTTGTTGTTTTTTATTTTTTACTTTTTTGTAGATGTATATCCAATTGCTCCAGCACCATTGTTTAAAACATTATCCCTTTTCACTGGATTGCCTTTGCATTTATATTGAAAATTAATTCTTCATATATATACGGATTTATTTCTGGACTCTATTCTTCTCCATTGATCTATGTCTATCTTGACACTTTCACCACACTGTCTCGGTTACTGTAGCTTTATATTAAGTCTTGAAATCAGGAAGAATTTAAGTCCACCAATTGTGTTCTTTTTAATAGTGTTGAGCAATTCTAGGTCTTCTCCATTTTCAAATCACTTTTATAATCAGTTTGTCAACTTCTAAAAAGATAGCCTACACTGAAATTTTGATTGGGATTACACTATATTTACAAATCAATTAGAAGAGAATTGACATCTTAACAATAGTGAGTTTTCTAGCCCCTTAATATAGTATAATTCACCATTTATTTAGGTATCTTTTTCCTTTATTTCATCGTAAGTATGTCGTTTTCAATGTACAAATTTTGTACATTATTGTTAGATTTATGTTTAAGTATTTTATATTTTGATGCTACTGTAAATGGCAATGTTTTCTTAATTTTAATACTTACTCATTAGTTTATAGTATACTGAAATACAATTATTCTTGTGTATTGACCTTATGTCCTACAAACTTGCTAAACATATATTAGTTCTAATAATTATTTTGGTAGATCCCATCAAAATCTGTACATAGACAATTATGTCAATTGTGACTAAAGACAGTTTTACCTCCTCCTTTACAGTCCAGCTATCTTTATTTCTTTTTCTTCTTTCATTACATTGGCTAGAACCTATAGGACAGTACTGAATAGGAATAGTGAGAGTGGAAACGTTCGTACTGTTTCTGGTTTTAGAGAAGAAATAATTCAGCTTTTCACAATTATGACAACAGCTGATGGTTTCTTGTAGATGACTTTTAGAAGATTGAGGAACTGCCTTCTATTCCTACTTGGATAACAGTTTTTATCAGGAATCAATGTTGAATTTTGTTAAAAGTTTTTCTGTATCTATTGAGATACTTGTATAGTTTTTAATTAATACATTAGCCTAGGCAACATAGAAAGACTCCATCTCTACAAAAAAAATTGTTTTAATTAGCCAGGTGTAGTGACATGCATCTGCAGTCCCAGCCACTCAGGAGGCTGATACAGGAGAAACCCTTGAGACTAGGAGGTCAAAATAAATCACAATGATTGATTTCGAGATGTTAAACCAACACGGCATTCCTTGGAAAACTCTACTTAGTGACAATGTATTATTCTTTTTATAAATTGTTAGATTTGATTTGTTTAACTTTTTAAAAAAATTTGTGTCTGTGCTCACAAGAAATAATGATGTACAGTTTTCTTTCCTTGTGATGTGTTTGATTTTGAAATCAGGACAATAATAGTCTCATAGAATAAGTTGGGAAGTATTCTCTCCTCTTAAATTTTCTGGAAAAGCTTGTTTAAAATTCTTTCATGTCATTCTTAAATGTTTGGTAGAATTCACTAGTTAAGATGTCTGACCTGAGTTTTCTTTGTGGAGAGATTTTTAATTACAACTTCAATTTCTTTACTATGACTATTCAAGTTATCTAATTATTTTTGAGAGAGCTTTAACAATGTGTGGTTTACATGGAATTTGTCCATTTTATCTAAGATGTTGACTTTATTCCTATAAAGTTATCTTTTTAATATTTATAAAATCTGGAGTCATGTTATCGCTCTTATTCTTGATATAGGTAATTTGTCTCTTCTTCCCTTTTTCTTAATCACTTGGACCAAAGGTTTATCAATTTTCTTTGTCTTCTCAAAGAACCAGTTTTTGCTTTCACTTACTTTTTCTCTATTGTTTTTAAGTTTCCTATTTCAATGATTGATTCCCACTGTGACTTTTATTATATTATTTCTTCTCCTTACCTTGGGTTTAATTAGTTCTTTTTTTTTTCTAGTTTCTTAAGATGGTAGCATTTAATTGTTATATGTTCTATTTTCATTTTCATTCAATTCAAATAATTTCTAATTTCACTTTTTATTTCTTCCTTGACCTCTGAATTATTCAGAAGTCCATTATTTGATTTCTAAATATCTGGGAATTTCACATATAACTTTTTTTTTTTTTTTTTTGAGATAAAGTCTCACTCTGTCGCCCAGGCTGTAGTGCAGTGGCGCGATCTCCATCTCAGCTCACTGCAACTCCGCCTCCCGAGTTCAAGTGATTTTCCTGCCTCACCCTCCAGAGTTGCTGGGATTACAGGCATGCGCCACCACACCCAGCTAATTTGTGTATTTTTTGTACAGACCAGGTTTCACCATGTTGGCCAGGCTGGTCTCGCACTCCTAACCTCAGGTGATCCGCCTACCTCAGCCTCCCAAAGTGCTAGGATTACAGGCATGAGTTTTGCAGTCTCAATATATCTATTGAGACTTATTTGGGGGTCTAGAATACGGTCTACTTGGGTAAATGTTTGGTGTGCACTTGGGAAAAATGTTTATCTGTTGTTCAGTAGTGGGTATTTCATACATGTCAACCAGGTCAAATTGGTTGATAGTATTTTTCAAGGCTTCCATATTTTTTCTGACTTATGCATCAAACATTGAGACAGTATATTGAAATCTTGATATATCACTGTGGATTTGTGTATTTTTCCTTGCAGTTCTTTCAGTTGATCCACTGACTTGCACTGTTTTCAGAGAAATCTGCTGTCATTCTTAAAATTTTCCTTTCTATGTAACATCTTTTTTTCCTACAGCTGCTTTTAGAATTTTCTCTTTATCACTGATGTTGAGCAATTTCATTATAATATGTCCAGGTTTAGTTTTCTTTATACTTCTGTGCTTAGGATTCATTGTGTTTTGTAGATGTGTATAGTTACAGTTTTCATCCAATTTGGAAACTTTTCAGCCATATATCTTCAAGTATTTGTTCTGTTTCTCCCATTTCAGTAACTTCAATTACTCATATATCAGTCTCTTGAAATTGTCTCATTGTTCAATGATGCTTTATTTATTTCATACAGTTTATCCCTGTATTTCATTTTGGATAGTTTCTATTGCTATGTCCTCAAGTTCACTAATCTTTCCTCTGTAATGTCTAATTGATAATTCTATACAGTGTATTTTTGATCTTAGAAATTGTAGTTTTACTCTCTTGGAGTCCAATTTGGATGATTCTGTATCTTTCTGGTCTCTACCAAACTTTTTAAATATATGGAATACAATGATAATAACTGTCTTAATGTCATTGCCTGATAATTCTGGGTTGCTTTTGACTAATTGATTTTTCTCTTCAGTATTAAGAAGAGAAATATGGTAATATGTATTATGAAGAGAAATATGATAATCAGTAATATAACATATTATTTCTGTTTCTTTGCATACCTGGTAATATTTGATTGATGCCAACATTATAAATTTTATCATATCAGGTACTAGATATTTTTGTTTTACTACAAATATTTTAAAACTTTGTTCTGGGATGCACTTAAGTTACTTAAAAATATTCTTTCATGCCTTTCTTCTAAGATGTGCTAGGTAAGATCAGAACAGCACTTAGCCTAAGTTTAATTAGTCCCTTCTAATGAGGCAAGACCATTCTGAGTTCTCTGCCCAGTGCCCTGTGAATTATAAGGTTTTTGAGTCTGACCAGTAGGTATTATTCACAATCCTATGAGAGTGCTAGGCATTCTACCCACCGATACTCTCAACTGGCTCTTTGTCAGCCTCAGGTATTTTTCTCACACACATGCCTATCAATACTCTGCCAAATACTCAAATGGGACTCCTACGATCTTTAAACTTTTTTCTCCCCATGCAACCTGCTATCCTCCTGAATCCTGTCCCCTGAACTCCAGGTATTTTTATCCCTCCATAGTCCCAGTTCCATCTCCCCAACTCAGGCAGTCCACCAAGCTCTGCCTGGGTTCTCTCTACTTATACCATGGCCTAGAAACTCTATCAAGGCAGTAACCTGAGGCAATCATAGGACTCACACCATTAGTTTCTCATCTCTCAGTGTTCATTGTCCATCAGTACCAAACACTGAGCCAGATCCTCAGTGTTTCTCATATATTTCACCTTGTTTTCTAGTTCACATGGGTGGGGAGAGGGTAAATCTAGTCCCTCTTACTCCATGTGGGTTCAAAGCAGAAATTTAATATTTATATTTAATTTTTCAGTGCTTCCAAATTTGGTTTTCAAATGACATACATGAATTTATGAACTTAAATATTTTATCCACAAAGAAGTATACTATCTTTAAGTATGAAAATATTTTTATAGGAAGACATGATGCAATAATGAGTAAAGAACCATTATAAAATTATTTAATCCTTTCTCCCAACCATTTCATTCTTCAGTGAAGCTGTGCAAAAATTATTCCTTCAACATTTACTCAGCCTTCTCAGTCTAAGCTCTTCACTAAGAATTGGATTGGAGAGCAAATCCGACTGGCCCTGTCCCCAAGGGACACTATCCTTTGAGTTTAAGAGAATAAATGGCTTGCTCTTGCTAAGGATATGTTAAAGCAAAATTTTAACTATTTCCTTTCAACAAAATATTTCCTTATAGTCCCCAGAGTGTCCTCTTGGGGAGAAGAGAAAGTAGGTATAAAAACTTTCCACATTTAATATATCATTAGCCATGTGATTTGATGTGATTTGAAGTTGTCTCATGCACTTTTATTGTAAAAAAAAAAAGTTTCAAAAGAAGGCATAAGTTACAAAAATTTTAAGGCAAGCAAATGTCTGTGAAAACTCTAGTGCCTCTCCATATAGTTGAGATTTAGTATGTGAACAAAAGACATAAAGAAAAACCTGTCTCACCTAGCTAAGGGAAGCAGGTAAGCAAAGGATATAGCCTCCTTCTTTGGGGAGAGTAGAATTTCAAAGGCTTAAAGTTTGGTAGGGATCAGTGGGGAAAGAAAGAGGAGTTAACTGATACCACTGAAGTTAATGGGGAATTGGGAAAGTGTGGCTGAGAAAAACTCACTTTCTACTACTTTTCCTTGTATTTATTTATTTAAATTTTTATCTCAAAGCTTCATTTTTGTACTTAAATATATTACAAGTAACTTGCATAATAAATATGATGTGGCAGGACACAGTCTATTTTTCTTTATTATCTACAAACATGTATGGTGTATACACGTATACATTTTTGCTGATATTTGAATTTAATGCTTGGAGTTGCATTGCTCAGCAATTTACACTTGAAATGAAATTGTTCTTATGAAATGTTCTTATCAATTATGATAAACATAGGTTTGAAACTTTGTAGCATCATTTAGATAAATTCTAGAAATCAATGAGTTTAGTTTCCTTAAGAGTAAAAATATGACATTATCAATAAGCATTTTGCCTAAAGTCATGAGTGGTACCAGTAATGCTAACAACCTCAGGGAGAGAATTCTTGTTCTCAGTGATGGGGGCATCAGCATCAGCTGCATCATGTTTGAAATCGGAGCACAGGGTATCAAAAGACACAAGCGTCATGCTTGATTTCCTTGGAAAACATCTCACTTGTGGAGCAGATAAATCAGAAAGTGAGCTTAACACATCAAACCCAAATCCAAATCATTTGAAATTCCTTCTATCCATACCTCACCTCCCATCTATGATGAAAGGAAAGGTTTCAATTAGAATAAACATATACTAAGAATGTATTTAAATTACCAGGTTAAATCAATATTAGCCAAAAAGCAGGGTTATGTGACCTCTATTCAACAACATAAAACTTCTGATGGTAGTTTAAATATACAGGACTCTTCTACAATGCCAGCAATATGTCTACACTAGTAATTATGATGCCAATAGGGAACATGCTGGAAAGAACACATGAAAAATATTCAAAGAGGAAGACATGATTAAGTCCACATAGAAATATGAGAGACTTAATGAATCCAGGAGCTGGTTTTTTGAAAAGATCAACAAAATTGATAGACCGCTAGCAAGACTAATAAAGAAGAAAAGAGAGAAGAATCAAATAGACACAATAAAAAATGATAAAGGGGATATCACCACCGATCCCACAGAAATACAAACTACCATCAGAGAATACTACAAACACCTCTACGCAAATAAACTAGAAAATCTAGAAGAAATGGATAAATTCCTTGACACATACACCCTCCCAAGACTAAAACAGGAAGAAGTTGAATCTCTGAATAGACCAATAACAGGCTCTGAAATTGTGACAATAATCAATAGTTTACCAACCAAAAAAAGTCCAGGACCAGATGGATTCACAGCTGAATTCTACCAGAGGTACAAGGAGGAACTTGTACCATTCCTTCTGAAACTATTCCAATCAATAGAAAAAGAGGGTATCCTCCCTAACTCATTTGATGAGGCCAGCATCATCCTGATACCAAAGCCTGGCAGAGACACAACCAAAAAAGAGAATTTTAGACCAATATCCTTGATGAACATTGATGCAAAAATCCTCAATAAAATACTGGCAAACCGAATCCAGCAGCACATCAAAAAGCTTATCCACCATGATCAAGTGGGCTTCATCCCTAGGATGCAAGGCTGGTTCAACATACGCAAATCAATAAATGTAATCCAGCATATAAACAGAGCCAAAGACAAAAACCACATGATTATCTCAATAGATGCAGAAAAGGCCTTTGAAAAAATTCAACAACCTTCATGCTAAAAACTCTCAATAAATTAGGTATTGATGGGACGTATCTCAAAATAATAAGAGCTATCTATGACAAACCCACAGCCAATATCATACTGAATGGGCAAAAACTGGAAGCATTCCCTTTGAAAACTGGCACAAGACAGGGATGCCCTCTCTCACCACTCCTATTCAACATAGTGTTGGAAGTTCTGGCCAGGGCAATTAGGCAGGAGAAGGAAATAAACGGTATTCAATTAGGAAAAGAGGAAGTTAAATTGTCCCTGTTTGCAGATGACATGATTGTATATCTAGAAAACCCCATTGTCTCAGCCCAAAATCTCCTTAAGCTGATAAGCAACTTCAGCAAAGTCTCAGGATACAAAATCAATGTACAAAAATCACAAGCATTCTTATACACCAATAACAGACAAACAGAGAGCCAAATCATGAGTGAACTCCCATTCACAATTGCTTCAGAGAGAATAAAATACCTAAGAATCCAACTTACAAGGGATGTGAAGGACCTCTTCAAGGAGAACTACAAACCACTGCTCAATGAAATAAAAGAGGACACAAACAAATGGAAGAACATTCCATGCTCATGGGTAGGAAGAATCAATATCGTGAAAATGGCCATACTGCCCAAGGTAATTTATAGATTCAATGCCATCCCCATCAAACTACCAATGACTTTCTTCACAGAATTGGAAAAAACTAGCTTAAAGTTCATATGGAACCAAAAAAGAGCCCGCATCGCCAAGTCAATCCTAAGCCAAAAGAACAAAGCTGGAGGCATCACGCTACCTGACTTCAAACTATACCAGAAGGCTACAGTAACCAAAACAGCATGGTACTGGTACCAAAACAGAGAGATAGATCAATGGAACAGAACAGAGCCCTCAGAAATAATGCTGCATATCTACAACCATCTGATCTTTGACAAACCTGACAAAAACAAGCAATGGGGAAAGGATTCCCTATTTAATAAATGGTGCTGGGAAAACTGGCTAGCCATATGTAGAAAGCTGAAACTGGATCCCTTCCTTACACCTTAAACGAAAATTAATTAGAGATGGATTAAAGACTTATATGTTAGACCTAAAACCATAAAAACCCTAGAAGAAAACCTAGGCAATACCATTCAGGACATAGGCATGGGCAAGGACTTCATGTCTAAAACACCAAAAGCAATGGCAACAAAAGCCAAAATTGACAAATGGAATCTAATCAAACTAAAGAGCTTCTGCAAAGCAAAAGAAACTACCATCAGGGTGAACAGGCGACCTGCAAAATGGGAGAAAATTTTCGCAACCTACTCATCTGACAAAGGGCTAATATCCAGAATCTACAATGAACTCAAACAAATTCACAAGAAAAAAACAAACAACCCCATCAAAAAGTGGGTGAAGGATATGAACAGACACTTCTCAAAAGAAGACATTTATGCAGCCAAAAAACATATGAAAAAATGCTCATCATCACTGGCCATCAGAGAAATGCAAATCAAAACCACAATGAGATACCATCTCACACCAGTTAGAATGGCGATCATTAAAAAGTCAGGAAACAACAAGTGCTGGAGAGGATGTGGAGAAATAGGAACACTTTTACACTGTTGGTGGGACTGTAAACTAGTTCAACCATTGTGGAAGTCAGTGTGGCGATTCCTCAGGGATCTAGAACTAGAAATACCATTTGACCCAGCCATCCCATTACTGGGTATATACCCAAAGGATTATAAATCATGCTGCTATAAAGACACATGCACACATATGTTTACTGTGGCACTATTCACAATAGCAAAGAGTTGGAACCAACCCAAATGTCCAACAACGATAGACTGGATTAAGAAAATGTGGCACATATACACCATGGAATACTATGCAGCCATAAAAAAGGATGAGTTCATGTCCTTTGTAGGGACATGGATGAAACTGGAAACCATCATTCTCAGCAAACTATCACAAGGACAAAAAACCAAACATGGCATGTTCTCACTGATAGGTGGGAATTGAACAATGAGAACACATGGACACAGGAAGGGGAACATCACACTCCGGGGACTGTTGTGGGGTAGGGGGAGGGGGGAGGGATAGCATTAGGAGACATACCTAATGTTAAATGACGAGTTAATGGGTGCAGCACACCAACATGGCACATGTATACATATGTAACAAACCTGCATATTGTGCACATGTACCCTAAAACTTAAAGTGTAATAATAATAAAATTAAAAAAAAAGAAATATGAGAGACTTTATGAAGTAGGGGGCATAAGCGGGGGAGGCAACACCTGAGCTAAGACTTAAAGAATTAATATCAGTCCATTTATTTAAAAAGTATAGTGTAAAATTATGCAATATTATACAAATTATCTGCATTTAAAATTCCATGTTATATTGAAAAGGAGGTAGAAGGAAGAGATAGAAGAAAATTATAGCATGTTAAACACCATATCTCAAAGGGAGCCACTCAAATATTTTACTCAACTTTGAAAATGAGCTGAATAGAGATTAAACATAACGTTTGAAAATTTAAAGGAAGCCACTTTGCAAAAATTATACTTTCCAAAAGAGTGGAAGACATAAAAGATAATAAACCATGTACTATACTGTAACTTAAAAAAAATTTTTTTCAAGACAAATAAAAATTTTAAAGGGGCAACATAGAGGCAAGTATAGAGAAACAAAAAAGAAAAAGGACAAAATGACAGGAACGTGCACTATTTATTTAAAACTTTTCAAGTATAAAATGGATAATTATTCCTTGTTAAAAGACTTGTAAACTGAATCAAAAGACAAAATTTGGTGTTTACATGAGTATGCTGATTACAAAGAACAAAGCTAAAACAACATCACAAAAATCCAAAAACGACAGACAAACATATTTTAGACAAATTCAAACATAATAGGTTTAGGTATTCGAAACTCAATACCAGAAACATTAAAAATAAATATCAAATAGATAGTTTTTAAAGAGTGACATTTTAACATGATAAAGGATAAATCATTAAGATAGCATATACTTTTATGCCCTAAATCGTATTTCATTAAATATTGTTAATAGGAGAAATAGGCAAAATCACAATAGTATAGAAAACTTAATATTGACACATTCTTAAATAGATCACAATTCAAAAGCATTTGGCTTATTTATCTTTCAATATGTCTTAGTGACATCAACATTTACTTAATAATTCAAGTATTGGAAAAAGGTAGAAAAATTGTTTCTTAGTGAAGAAACAAGTTATCAAATTTAGAGAGAGCTAATTAAAATTTTGGAAGGCAAATATCAAATGGTCAAAAACAAACATGAACATAGAAGATAAGTGTAATTAAAAAGGCTGATTTCATACACATACACATACGTGCACACACAAAGAAGAAACTGTATTCTATACTGCTCACGAAATATTTGTAAAAAACAAACATTTATGTTAGAAAACCTGGATAAAAATGGAACCAAACAAAGCACTGAACAAAAATATAATAAACTTTTTTCTGAGCTAAAGAAAGAACTCCATAGGTAGATTGAAAGGTCACACATGTTTGAGATTAAACTACTGATAAAAGCACCCATACTTACATGAATTTCAGCAAAATTTTTGGAATTCAAAGACATAGAAAATATATGTTTTTAATCCAAACTGAGGAAACAGGTGTCCTAAAAATAAATCTGGCATCTTTCATCCTTTTCTGCAACTGTAAATTTCTAAGACAATGGGAAAACAGCAAGACAGTTTTGAGGAATAAAGTTATGACCCAGAATTACATATGCAGTGAAGTGAAAATAATGATAATAGGCATTGTCAGAGAAATTAAAGAGACCTGAAAATTGTTCCAAACATGCTCTTTTCTTGACAGTATCACGTGGCAAGCACTATGCTAAACAGTTTACATGCATTATTTCATTTCATCCTCATATCATCCCTATAATGTGATGTTTAAAAAGGAAGAACCAAAGCTTGAATTAAGCAGTTCCCCCAAGACCACAAACACAAGATATAGTAAGAACTTCAACCCATGTCTCATTGACACCAACGTCCTTGCTCTTATTCACTCATTTATATAACTCCCTTAAGTAGTTATTAGGATATCTCTGCATCAGTATGTTAGACAAATAATACGGCAAGCTTCATAACAATCCAAGGGCTTCCTAATTAGCCCCATAGCCTTCTAAGTACATATCCCCCCTTCCCATCACCTTGCTTTATTTTGCTTCTTTTGAACATCAGTGGACATAATTGGCCATGGCATGTATCACCATTAGTTCATGTACATCCATCTGATTTATACCATTTTTTCCAATAGATAAAAATCTCGATCCCATTCCTTTCCCTCCTACAAGAGCATCACTGGCTCTTATTTATTTGCTCTTTTCTTTTAGTCTACCTTCCAAATCATTGCATTCTTGGCCTCTGTAAATTCTGGATCTAATGATCTTCTTTGTCTTTTTTGAAACTTTTTTGTTTTGTTTTACTTTAAGCACATGGTTCCTAGTTGCCTGGAAAATCTTTTTCTATCCCATTATTTTCAACATTTTTGCATCATTTTAAGTATGTCTTCATTATCCAAAATATTACTGAATATTATATTTAGATCCAGCCAGATTGACTTCTGATCTTTGAATTTATAGATCATATTTCCTTTAGTTATACTAAAACTGATTTCTATTGGCATATTTTGTATTATCTATGAAACACTCCGTGTTTTTCCCCCCTTTTTTTTGTTTTTCTAGGCTCCATTGGATATAGATAGAATATTTCATTTTTTAGTTTAAATGTAATAAAAGCCATGTTTATTCTTCTCTTTTTGAGGCCAAGACTAATGTTAATTTTTTTCCAATTAGTGTCTGAGGTTTTCAATATCCATATGTTCCCTTGAATACAATGGGAAGCTCAATATGCTCTTACTTCATCTGTTCCACAACCATCCTTCTCAGGCCCATATGGGTTTTATCTGAAATTGTTCTGCGAGATTTTTGTGGATATACAGGTTTCCCTTTTAATCTTTCCTCATTTATATAAAAATACATTATATTCATTTATTTATTCTAGAGACACAGTTTGCTCTGTTGCCCAGACTGAAGCACAGTGGCATGATCATAGCTCATTATAGCCTCAAATTCTTGGGCTCAAGCAACCCTCCTGGCTCAGCCTCCCAAAGAGCTAGGAATCCAAGCACATGCCACCATAGTCAGCTAATCTTTTTATTTTTTGTAGAGACAGGGTCTCACTATGTTTCCCAGGCTAGTCTTGAACTCCTGGGCTCAAGCAATGCCCCTGCCTCAGCCTCCCAAAGTGCCGGGATTACAGGTGTGAGGCACTGCACCTGGCCATTTTACTGAATTTTAATATAACCTAACTTGATATATTTTATCTCTCCCCCTCAATTCATTTCTCATCTTCTTGTTCTATATCCTCTAAGAATTCTTTCAGAGATGGTCTCTGTATAGTAAATATTCTGAGACACATAACCAAACCTTCACATTTATATGATAATTCAGCTGCATATAAAATTCAACATTCTACATATTGCTCATGTTCTCACACCCAGTACCTAAAACTGTGTCATGACCCAAATTAGGTACCAATAAATATTTAAGTGAGTGAATAAATGAATAATGAGTGAATGGATGCAATTATACTATTAAGAAGAGTGTAACTTAAAACCTGTGAAGAGAACCTATAATATACAATGGTTCTGCTGGTTTCAAAAATAGCAATACTTGAAACTAGAATATGCCATATTGTTTTCTATACAAATGCTGTAATTTCTCCCTTCTGTCTTGGTGACTCTTTCCCAAACATCTATGTAAAGGCTGGGCCCCTTCCTTCATATTAACTCACTTAAGCCTGAGAACAGCCCAAAGAGGAAGATGAGATCATCTCCTCTTCCGTTTTTAGAAATAAGAAAACTCAGAAGTTCCCTAACTTACCCAAAGCAATAATTGAAACATTGGTCCTCTGACAACAGGCACCAAACCCTCACTCTCTGATGTTCCTTAACATCTTCCAGTGGAAGAGAGGACTTTATGAACAGGGACTTTTCATCCTATTGCCTGGATAGACACTGTATTAGTCTGTTTTCACACTGCTGATAAAGACATACCTGAGACTGGGCAATTTACCAAAGAAAGAGGTTAATAGACTTACAGTTCCACGTCGTTGGAAAGGCCTCACAATCATGGTGGAAGACAAAGAGGAGCAAGTCACATTTTACATGGATGGCTGCAGGCAAAGAGAGAGCTTGTGCAGGGAAACTCCTGTTTTTAAAACCATCAGATCTCATGAGACTCATTCACTATCACAAGAACAGCACAGAAAAGATCTGCCCCATAATCCAATCACTTCCCACTGGGCTCTTCCCATGACATGTGGGATTTACGGAAGTTACAATTTAAGATGAGATTTGGTTGGGGACACATCCAAATATATCAGACAGGGAAAATAATGATGAAGCAATCTGGTAAAAAAATAAAGAAATATGTAAAATCGGTCAAAACAGGAAACCTTTCTCTGTAATGTTTCTTGTTGCTTTGTAATCTTTGAAATTTATTAGGAAAAAGAGTATGTAATGAGCAGAAATGGAAGTGTGCTAAAACACATATCTAATAACCTCTTTATCTCAATTTATCAAAAGACTACCTCATTTCTTTTCTCAAAATCTCAGCTTCACAAGATGTTTTCTTAAGTTCATAAAAGAAATGAATCTCTTCCTATCTCATTGTCCTCCTGCCACTCTCAAGTAGGCCATCGTGTCTATTGTTCCCTTCTTTGTGTCCATGTGTACTCAGTGTTTAGCTCCCACTTGTAAGTGAGAACATGTAGTATTTGGTTTTTTGTTCCTGTTACTTCACTTAGGATAATGGCTTCCAGCTCTATCCATATTGTTGCAAAGGGCATGATCTCAATCTTTTTGATGGCTGTGTAGTATTCCATGGTGTATATGTTTTCTTTATCCAATCCACCAATGATGGGAATTTAACTTGATTCCACGTCTTTGATATTATGAATAGTGCTGCAATGAATATAAGCGTGCATGTGTTTTTATAGTAGAACAATTTATATTCCGTTGGGTGTATATCCAATAATGAGATTGCTTGGTCAAATGGTAGTTCTGTTTTAAATTCCTTGAGAAATCACCAAACTGCTTTCCATAGTGGGTAAACTAATTTACATTCCGACCAGCAGTGTATAAGCATCCCCTTTTCTCTGCAAACTCGTCAGCATCTGTTCTTTCTTGACTTTTTAATAATAGCCAGTCTGACTGGTATCTCAATTGTGGTTTTGATTTGCATTTCTCTAATAATTAGTGATGCTGAACATTTTTTCATAAGCCTGTAGGCTGCATGTGTGTCTTCCTTTGAGAAGTGTGTATTCATATCCTTTGCCCATGTTTTAATGGGATTGTTTGTTTTTGCTTGTTAATTTGTTTAAGTTCCTTATAGATTCTGGATATTAGACCTTTGTCAGATGCATAGTTTACAAATATTTTCCTCCATTCTATAGGTTATCTGTTTACTCTGTTAATTTATTTTGCTGCGCAGAAGCTCTTTAATTTAATTCGGTCTCATTTGTTAATTTTTGTTTTTGTTGAAATGCTTTTAGAGTTTCCATCATGAAATATTTGCCAGGGCCTGTGTCCATCCAGAATGATCTCTTTTAAGTTTTCTTCTAAAGTTGAAATGACCATACTGACTATATCAACTTACAGATTCAATGCTATTTCTATCAAAGTACCAACAAAATTTTTCACAGAATTAGAAAAAAAAACTATTCTAAAAATCACATAGAACCAAAAAAGAGCCCAAATACCCAAAGCAATCCTAAGTGAAAAGAACAAAGCCAGAAACATTACACCACCTGGATTTAAACTATAGTTCTAGGCTACAGTAATGAAAACAACATAGTGCTGGAACAAAAATAGACACATAGACCAATGGAACAGCTTAGAGAACCCCAGAAATAAAGCTGTAGTACATCTACAACCATCTGATCTTCGACAATAACAAAATGGGGAAGGAATCCCTATTCAACAAATGGTGCTGGAATAACTGCATAGCCATATGGAGATGATCAAAACTGGACCCCTTCCTTTCACCACATACAAAAAAACCAACTCAAGATGGACTAAAGACTTAAATGTAAAACCTAAAACAACTCTAGGAGAAAACTTATAATACCTAATACCATCCTGAATATTTTTATAAGAAGAAATTTCATTAGAACTTTGAGCAGAGCTCTTTGTTGTAAAATTGTCTTCCTACATTTGTTACATATTTTAAGAAAAGATTCCATGTTCAAATTATTAACTCTATCTTTAATCACAGATTGTAGACAAAATCTTCTATAGATCTATCTCAGAGAAACAGAGACCTGCTCTCCAATTTTCAAAAAATTACTAGATAAGCCCGATGTCTAAATAAACATGTGTGTCTTGAAACATGGCCCAAAGTTCAAGATAACCTCGTCTGTATACAATTGTAGGAGTGCATATTCTTCATCATAAATGCCACAGCACATGGTCCTGCAAAGAACTTGTCTCTGGGGGTACATGGGAAGAATTTTTTAAGAAATGAAATATTGAAGGAGGGGAAGGGAAAAAAGCAAAGTAGTCTGGTTTAGAAATTTGAACCCAAAATCAATTCTGAGCTTTTAGAAAAAACCAAGACCTTCATTATCACACATTAAGTAGGAAATTCGTATAGACCATTGGCCTTAATGTTAATAATGGTGGCTAAATCCACCTAAAAGACTGGTAGCTTGGGCTGTCCACTGAAGACTGTCAGTATCATCCAGGAAAGTCCTTAAGAAGAATTTGAGCTTAGAAAAGAAATCCTCAGGGGTAGGTCCTATTGAAAAGTTTGAATTCTTTGAATTACTCTACAAGCATTTTATGTCTATTTAGCATAGTCCTTTCCTAAGAAGGCTCTTCACTGAAACTGAATCAGAATTCTCACTCCATTCTCTAGTGCATCCTCCTCTGAGCCTCATTGTGAAGAATTTCTTTTAAAACCTAAGGCCTGAAAAAGTTTGCTTCTTCTGAAGGATAGTTATGCTTCCTCTGATCTGATAATAAAAACTAAGTAACTGACCAAGACTCACTTTTTTTCTCAGAGACAAATCTAAGTCTGAATAATAGTAACTACTTAGAGTCTAATCACCTGCATATATTTTTTCTACCCAGTATGTGACTTTCTACTTCTGCTTATATTTCCCTTCTTCCCTACTCTGTATGTCTATTTTATCATTATTTATAACATGTGTTCCCTTTATAAAATGTTTCAAATCCTTTGTGGACCAAGATGGTAAATAAGTAAGGAACTAAATAGATACGTATGATCTATCTCTTTAATACCTAGATCCACCTATTAATTTTTTTTTATTCTCTCTCCCTTCCCAAGGCATCCCCTCTTCAGTGAACAGCTACACTGTCTACTCAGACTTCATGCCAAAAACCTAGAAATCATCTATAATTCTCTTTTCGTCACCTTTCACATACAACTCACTAGTCAATTCTATTGGCTCTTCCTCTAATTACATCCTATTTGTTTTTGGAGGTTTTTTGATTTTTCCCTCCATCTCTATCCCTTCTGTCCTGAAATACGTTGTACCATCTCTCTTCTGGATTACTACACTTGCTTACTAACAGTTGTCTATAGCCAGGCATAGTGGCTCACACCTGTAATCCCAGCACTTTGGGAGGCTGAGGCGGGTGGATTACCTGAGGTCAGGAGTTCAAGACCAGCTTGGCCAACATGGCAAAACCCCGTCTCTACTAAAAGCACAAAAATTAGTGGCATGTGCCTGTAATCCCAGCTACTAGGAGGGCTGAGGGAGGAGAATCGCTTAAAACTGGGAGGTGGAGGTTGCAGTGAGCCAAGATCCTGCCACTGCACTCCAACCTGTGCAACAGAGTGAGAGTCCATCTCAAAAAAAGAAAAAGAAGAAAAAAAAAAGAAAAAAAAGTTGTGTATTCTTCCACTCCTATCCTACTAAAATTACCTTTTAATAGAATGATCCTTCAAAATACAAAGCCGATATTTTTCTCTGCTGCTTAACATCTTCTTACAGCATTTCATTTCACTTTAATGAATTAAAAGCCATAGTCAGTGGTCCGTAGTCCATGGCCAAGAAGGTGCCACACAGTCTGGTTACTGCCTATGTCTGTTCTCCCAATTCCAATGACCCACCCACACTGGCCATCCTTCTGTTTCCTCAGACATGCCGAGTTTATTTCCATCTTTTAAGTTGCCTTTGCCCCGGGACAGAGTATTGTCTCATGACTGCCTCCTTCCTCTTTCAGGTCTCACCGACCCACTTCAAGTGCTATCTTCTCAGAAATGCCTTCCCTTGCTGCCCTCGCCCCCACCACTACCAAATTAACATTGCCACCTGCCATCACTTGCCAGTTCTTTCCTCAGTTTTATATTCTCCATTGCACTAATCACTGCCTTATTATGTTTATTACTTATCTTCTGCCTTCAAAGATAAATATCTTGAAAATAAGAACATTGCCTCTCATGATTATTGCTGCAACTTCAGATCCAAAATCACACATAATTGGTGCGCTCAATAAATACTCACTGAATGAATAAATACTTATTTGTTTCAGAAATGTAAAGCTTAGCCACTTGAATTAGGCCAGTGAAAAATAATAAAGACTAGGATAACATACTGCCTTCCAAGAGCTGCAATCTATTTGGAACGACAAAGTCAATACATAGAACACAATTAGAAAAAATGCAAAGATGATCTAGGGAGGGCAAACACTTGTCACTGGAAATAAACCCGGCAAGTTCAAAAGTTTCAGCAGCCTGTCTGAAGCTTTCTGCAGTCAGAGTTTGCTGCTCCTTACTCAAATGCTAGGCTGAAAAGGGTGAAGTATAACCTTTAGGATATTAATATCTATCTGTAGAAGAGGAAGACAGACCACATATGTTAAAATCCTAACTCTGCCTTTTATTCTCCGGGTCAATTGCTGTTTCTTATATTTCTAATTTATAAAAAGGGAATAATAATAGTGCCTAACCAGGAGAATTGCTTCAGCCCCGGAGACGGAGGCTGCAGTGAGCCGAGATCATGTCACTGCACTCAGCCTGTCCAACAGAGCAAAATTCTGTCTCAAAATAAATAAATAAATACATAAATAAAAATAATAGTGCCTAACTTATTCATTCAGTACCATCGAGAGCATTAATCAGGCATTAATCTGGGAAGAGTATTGACTTAAAAAGATAAGGGTCCATTCTCACTGAGTTTCCTTTCTAAGAGAATACCTGGGTTGATTATATAAGATAAAGATGGAAATGCTTAGCAGAGTACCTGGTACCAAATAACCACTCAAAATTTTTAGCTAGTATAATTTTCACTAGGTATGACAAAACATTGTAGGTCTGGGAGCAGAAAAAAAATCTTGAAAGCAGTGCTTTAGAAAGAATAATCTGTTAGAACGAAATAGAAATGATTCAACAGCATTGAGATTAGAGATGGGAAAACTAGTTATAAATTTTATTATTTGTATGGTCTTGTATCATTTTGCCAAAAGTAAGTGTAATTCCAAAATCATATCTTCAATTTTACTCTGATAACCTTCTTTATGGTAATTCAGTTGCCTTGCTCTTGCCAATAACAGATTCTGGCAATGAACTTTAATTTGGCAGTATACTTAGAACCAAGAATAGACAATGATATAGCAAAGACCATGTTATAGTTCAGCATCCTCTCATTTTTTATTTATTTACCAATCACAGATGCCTAATATAGTAAGTGCTGTGCTGAGCATTGCTTTCTAAAATAATTACATAATTAAGTAATTTCTGATATCTGAGAGTTTGCAAGTAGTGGAGATGAAAAATATACAACAAGCATATTCTTGGAAGAATTTTTATTCTTGCTGTGGACCATGAAGTTTTATTCTTGTTGGAAGAATTTTTGTAATTGTTGCAGGCAATTTAATATGGAAGTTACAAAGAGGAGCAAATGACTGTCAGAGAAGACTTCATAGAAGAGACAACGGAACATTCAAGGATGAGTAGTAGTTTGCCAGACATAAAAAGAAGCAAAAATAATAGTATTCTTTGTTGATAACAATAGTGATCACTAACATTCATTGAGAGCTTGCCATGTGTCAGTTACTATTCTATTTTATAAGAATTAGCTGATAATCCCAATGATAAGCCATGAAATGGCTACTTTTGGTATTCTTGTTTGGTAGATAAGGAAATCAAAGCCCAGAGTAATTAAGTAACTTGTTTATGGACACATACCTATGAAGCAATAAAATATTATTTGAATCCAAGGAATCTAATTCAAGAACCCATGTTCATGATAGGTCATATTCTTTCCCTATAGCATATACTGTATTCTATTAGCTTCACATCTAATTAATGTTCTGGTAAAGAAAGCTAAGAGGGAGACATAAACAATCCTACTTTCAATCCCTATCTATCCAACCACCCCCAGTGTGGATAGTTCCTCCAATACTGATTTCCCACATATTGTGAGAGCACGGAGTATAATCTCTTTACCTCTCCTTGGTCATGGGACAGAAACATAAAAGGCTTTTGTGCCACAATCAATTAGATATGGAACAACATATCCATCCCTGGGAATCACCTGCTACTTCATCTATCAATGTCACCAAAAATATTGGTGACCTTAAAGAGCAAGGTCAGGAGAATAAATACCGGAAGAATTTGAGAGATGCCCAGTTCTACCAATCGTTTTCCTTTTCAAATTGGAACAAAGTAGCAAAAATTCTTATTCATTCACAGCAGGAGTATCCCCTGACTATGAGTAAAGAAATTTCAGAAATAAGAAGGGAATTTAAGGCAAATGATGTATATTTTGGTTTTATTTGGGAAGTAAACCCTCTAACAATCAAAGGATGGGAAAAAATTTTCAAATTAAAAGAATATAATTTCTTGTTTTTATTTTTTGTTTTTCTTCAGTTCTTAAAAAAAAAGAAAATAGGATATATGTGCAGAACGTGCAGGTTTGTTACATAGGTATCAGTGCGCCATGATGCTTTGCTGCACCTATTGACCCATCCCCTAAGTTCCCTCCCCTCGCCCCTCACCCCCAATAGGCCCCGGTGTGTGTTGTTCCCCTCCCTGTGTCCCCTATGTCCATGTGTTCTCAATGTTCAACTCCCACTTAAACAGGCAGTATTTGGTTTTCTGTTCCTGTGTTAGTTTGCTGAGGAGGATGGCTTCCAGCTTCATCCATGACCCTGCAAAGGACATGATCTCAAAGAATATAATTTCTATGTTCTAAAAAAAAAAAAACAATGCTTTCTTATTTTTCTTTCAAGATGGTAACCTAAAAAGTAAGAGAAAAACATTTTTTTTACACCCAAGTATTTTTCTAAAGCCAAGTACAGAACTTATCTTAATATTGTACAAAACACCCAGAATATAATCTGGACTTTTTAGTAACTAAAATAATTTGACTATCCTAATGTGGCCATCTCATACCTAATTTGATGATTTTAGACTAAAATAATCAAGTAAATATAAAGCCCCAGAATGAACAAAGCTTGCCTAATTCCAGCAATTCCATTTTCATGCAAGATACATCATTTTGTAATGATGTGGTAACATACTGTATGAATAGATTAATGTATATCTTTACATGTTTTTAAGAGTAGTAATATAGTACAGTGGTTATGAGAACAAATTCTCAAGTTAGACTGGCTGTATTTGAATCCTAGCTCCTCCAGTGACTAGTCATATGATTGAGTAAGTCATTCAGCCATCCTAAGCTTCAGTTCCCCCTTTTGAAAACTGGTTATATTATTAGCATGTACCACATAGACTTGTTAGAAAGATTAAATAAGTGAACACATGTAAAGCTTGTGGAACAATCTGGCGCACAGTGAGTTGCAGTGTCTGCTAACACTTGCTAATGTTGTTTTCATACATTACATCATTTAATCTTCAAATTAACCAAGATATTTAAGTAGGACAGATACAAGCCATCTTTGTCTTTTTTAATGCACTGTATCCCATAAGCTGTATTTTTTGTTTCATGAGTGAATGCGTGTGTGTCAATGAGTTAAAATCCTGCACACATGCCTTGTACCCTGAGATTGTAAAATTCACAATGCCTTGCATACCGTAGTCTCTAATTAAGAACATGGTAAATGTTTGAGATGGGTATGGTAACTACCCTGATCTGAACCCTATACATTACATGTATCACAATATCACTGTGTGCCCCATAAATATGTACAGTATGTGTCACTTTAAATAAATTTTTTAAAGAATGTTATGGTAGACTATTGATAAAAATGATACTGGGTTTATGCATCAATTTGTTGGACATTGGCAAGAACTTGCAAATAAGTGAATAAAAAGATAATGATCAGAAATATAATTCTTTACTAGGTAACATTAGCAAACAAAAAATTTAGAGGTAAGGAATTCAGATAGGAAAACACAGATTCTACCTGTACTATTATTTAGCAGCTGAGGAAATGTAGACCTCCTAAATCTAAGTGGTTTGTCTATTAATGATCATCCATTTGGAAGAGCTCAAGTAAGTTCACCACAACTATCAATGTTTATTTATATTAAGTACCTGTGTATCATTTGTTTGCTTTTGTTGTTGTTGTTGTTGTTGTTGGAGACAGAGTCTTGCTCTGTCACCCAGGCTGGAGTGCAGTGGCACGATCTCAGCTAACTGCAAGCTCCACCTCCTGGGTTCACGCCATTCTTCTGCCTCAGCCTCCCAAGTAGCTAGGACTACAGGCGCCTGCTACCATGCCCGGCTAATTTTTTTGTATTTTTAGTAGAGACAGGGTTTCACCGTGTTAGCCAGGATTGTTTGCATTTTTTAAAATACCACAAATTCTTCTGGAGTCACTGGGCCCCAGAGCCCCCTTCCCAGACCACTGCTCAATCCAACTGGGTCAGCCTGGGGTCCACTCTCAGGTCCAGCTGAACCACTGCCAGCGCCCATTTCCTCAGTCTGTGTCAGAACTGAGGCCTCCAAAGGATTCCACTCTGCGATTTACCTGACAAGGCAAATCATATTATTTGTTATAGACAAATTAAAATCTATTAATAAAATCATAACCAGAATGTTGAAGGAACTTGCGACCATATTAAAAAAAAAAAAAAAAAAAAAAAAAAAGCCCAGCCGGGGAAACTGGGCTGATCAGCGGGGAACCATGAGGGTTATGGTTATCACGGTCGTGATAACTGACTTGAACTAGGTGAGAGGCAGAGATGGGGAAGAAGAATTGAATTGGTTCTTATGTTACTTCCAGCTGGAGACCTGGAACTAGTGACTAAAATTAAAGGAGACAGATTTGGACTTAAGAGACAGAAGACTTACTGACACTAGAAGGTAAAATAGGTTCTTTGAATGGTTCTGTGTTCCTTATCCTGGAGCTAGAAAGGGAAGCAGGGGCTAAAGAACAACTTGTTAAAGATGCAGAGAATACTCCAAACCAGCTGGATGGGTAGCTGTACTGAGTGACCTTTGAAGTCTGAAAAGTCGGAATCTATGACTCTATAAAACTATGAAATATAAGGAAAACATGAATAAACTGAAGCTCACAAAAATGATTTCTAAGAAAGCTTTCCGTTATCAAGATGAATTTTTCACATATCTAAAAATGAAAATGCAATAGGCTATTAAATATATATATATATGTACTGTCACTGTACTAAGCATTTTTACATACTGTTGTGTATTGGACTGTGTTTCCAGAATGCTATGTTGAAGTCCTAACCCCGAGATCTTATTTGGAGATAAAATCTTTATAGATATAATAAAGGTAAACCATGAGGTCATACTGAATTAGGATAGGCCCTAAATCCTATGACTGATGTCCTTACACAAAGGAGAGATGTGAGACACATGTATACCCAGAAAAGAAGGCCACGTGAAGATGGAGGATGAGATTGTTGCTATGTGGCCACAAGCCAAGGAACGCCAAGGAAAACCAAGGATTGCCAGTAGCCACCAGAAGCTGGAAGAGGCAAGGAAAGTTTCCTTCAGAGCATGGCCCTGCCAAACACCTTAATTTCAGATTTCTAGCTTCCAGAGTAGCCTTTACTCTGAGAGTAAAGTAAATACACTTCTGCTGTCTTACGCCACTTTGCTTACGGTAATTTGTTATGGCATCCCTGAGAGTCTAATACACATGGTTTATTTAATTTGTTTCTTGCAGCAGCACAAAGGAAAGTATTAATATTACGATCTCCATTGATAGATTTAAAAAAAAAAAGCTAAGATCTAAGAGGTCAGAAAACTTGGTCAAGGTCACATGCTAGAAAACAGCAGAATAAGATGCCTCTATCCAGGTCCATATTCCTGGGAATCCCATTCCCTGCTCCGCATTACCTCCAACAAACATGCATTCACTTAGAGAACATCACAGTTTCCATTCGACTATTCTCACACATCTCAGGGTAGTACAGTTTTTAGCAGCCACCATCTCTAGTGAGCTAGGGGTTCTAGCAGAACCTGATTTAGGTGGGATAGGTAAAGTCCAGGAACCAGAATCAAAGTGCAGATCCCCGATGTCTTCTCTTTAGACCAGGTAAGTGCCTATACTCACCTCCCGGGTAGCCACACCCCTCCTCCTGTCCCATGTCTCATCTAAAATATTTTATGTTCTAAATTATAATTTATTGGGAATAAAATATAATCAAAGGTCTGTATTGAAGACTTTCTATAGGGAGAAAATACTCGCTTACACAAATAAATATTCCTAGTTGTTAACTTTAACAATCAGGAAACAATGCTGGGGATGACCGTTTGAAGCCATCACTGGTTTCTATTGTAAGTCAAAGAACTGATCTAAAAGTGTCATAAGTCTTTGTTACATCTTTAAAAAGATTTTTTAAACCACATATACAGAAAGCAACAAAGAAAGCTACAATGATGGGTGAGCTTCTGAGGAACTTTGATGGAGGCTGACATCCGCCTCTCACACATGTGGCTATCATCTGGACGCTCATCTGTTCCTTTGCTGAAAGAAGGAGCTTTTGGCATGAGAAATCCATTGGCTGCTGGTAAGCTGCTGCCAGGCAAGCCTCCAAGTGCTTACCTGCCCGCTCGAGAGAACATTTTAAAATATTTATATATACATGCTAATAAAAACTAAACTAAACAATGTACCCAGGTACTTTTTAAAAGCCACTGCAATACTATGTCATCATATTTGAAAAACTGCTAAATTTTACTTCTGAGTAAACACTTCATAACAGACATGCTGGAAATATGTGTGTGTGTGTGTGTGTGTGTCTGTCTGTGTATGTGTGTATATATTAGTAGGATATGTTATATATATACATTCTAGTAGGATACTGTTATGGATACATCTATATATAATATACATCTATATATTGTATATATACACAATATATACACATATATACATAATACATATAATATATGTATATATACATATTATACATATATAATATATACATCTATATTATATATATCATTATCATATGTTTCATATATGATGTATATGATTTTATATCAGATATCACATATGTATCAGATATATATCTGAGATACATATATAAGATATATATGATACATATATCAGATATATATTTAATATGATATATTTCTAATATCTCATATATGTGTGTGTGTGTGTGTGTGTCTGTGTATGTGTGTATATATTAGTAGGATATGTTATATATATACATTCTAGTAGGATACTGTTATGGATACATCTATATATAATATACATCTATATATTGTATATATACACAATATATACACATATATACATAATACATATAATATATGTATATATACATATTATACATATATAATATATACATCTATATTATATATATCATTATATGTTTCATATATGATGTATATGATTTTATATCAGATATTACATATGTATCAGATATATATCTGAGATACATATATAAGATATATATGATACATATATCAGATATATATTTAATATGATATATTTCTAATATCTCATATGTGTGTGTGTGTGTGTGTGTGTGTGTGTGTGTGTGTGTGTTGTATCCATAACAGTATCCTACTAGTATGGTCTCAAACCTCTAGAATATAGTTACCTATACATAAATAGATAGATAGATAGATAGATAGATAGATGATAGATAGATAGATAGAGAGATACACAGATACATAGATATATACATAGATAGATGGATAAGGTCACAAAGCCTCTGCAAAACCTGTTTCAACTCCCAGGATGAAAACAGTGTTTTTCTTCAAAGGAAAAGCCCCTAGACTAAAGGTGACTTACTCTGACATTCCAAATTCACCCAACATTTATTGGGTAGATACTCCTTGTCTTGAGACTCTGTGGTAGACTGGGGTTATAACAGTGATGAAACAACAAGGCAGAACAGCATGGTGCGTGGAAAAACACTGGCTTGAGAGTCAAGTTTCAAATTCCAAGTCTAATTTTCACTAGCTGTGCTGCCCTGCACATCTCATCTGTGCACACAATCATAAGATCAACCTCACAGGCTGTTAGGAGTATTCAATGAGACGGTGCATGTCCAACACCTAGCCAGGCCCTGCAAGTGTTGCCATGCCTCAATAAGTGTTCCTTCCTTTCCCTCCCAGTGGGAACTCATGCCCTCCTTTTGACAGTAGCCTCAGATTCATATGGGTCTTACTCTACTGCCAGTGCCTCCCTGTATGAGACACACCCGCCCTGCGCAAACCTCGGGGCTCCTGTCCTGTCCCTGAGGCAGGAGGCTATGGAGGATGTTCAATTTCTCTGGGTATAGCATAAAGAGGGGCCCCTGAAAACAGACTGGTTGCAAAAGGGTGAGACTTGAGGTCATGTTTAGGATTTCATACTTTATCATAATAGTAATTGGAGCCATGAAAAGGCTTAAAGCAGAATTTCCCTTTTATAGGTTTACTCTACCACTGGAGACAGGAGGGGATGCAGGAGGACTTTTGAAGTAGTTTAGTCAAAAGATACTGGGATTCTGAGTTGGAGGACGGGCAGGTGTCAATGGAGAGAAAAGTAATCGGATGGATTTAAGGAAAAAATACAAGTGAAATGTCTGGCTGGAGATTGATTAGATATGGAGTAGAGGGAGAGAGAAAAAAATCAATAGCACATTCATAATGAACAAGATCTTAGAATAATATTTGGCACATAATGAACATCTGATAAATGTTAGTGATTGTTATTTGATTTTTATACCTAATAAACAACGTATTAAAGTTTTCACAGATTACATATAAATTCAATTTTTTAGTACAAAATTATGAAAGGATTTCCTGTAACTTTGCTCTTGAAATTCTTTGGCTAAGCATCTCACTGAATTTACAATTGGTTATAATTTTATGATAATCATTTTGCATACTCAGAAATTCTTACAAAAAGAGAAATCTAAATTACAGTTTATTTCCAAATATTATGAAAATTTTATGAATACTAATTTTAACAATTAATGAAGTTGACTTAATATTATATTTTGTAGGCATTTCATTAAACATTTATCAATGCTGGTTTTATGGTTTTATTTTTGGACTTTGGAAGACATCATTTGTTTTCAGGGCTCAAATATTTCCAAAGGACCTTTAAAAAGCTACTAGGACCTAAGCTATGTGCCTGTCATGCCTAATGAATACAATGAATCTGAAATGGTGGACAACTGAGAAAGAATAGCATGAAGCTAGGGTTTTAACAAATAGGATTCTGTGAAAAAGAGAAAATTCAGAGAAAATGGCATAATGTGATGTGATTTTTTTGGAATTCTTATTCATTGGTTCCCAGGCTCTCTCAGCCTTAACATGGGGAGTTTAACAAATGTCAACATAGTTTAATAAACACCATTTACCCATTAGTTTAATAAACACCATTTACACCATTATTATATATAAATGAGGGCTCAAGAAATATACACTTTGTTGTACTGTTTAAGATGAGAATCACCACATCTTAATGATTATCCTCTGAAAGTACTGCGCTTTCAAAAAGATAGCAAGCATTACCTCCTTAGAATGGAGGTAATGCTTTTTAGCTTAAAAGGACATTAAAAATCACATATGTGAAAAAGGAGAAATGGCTTGCCCAAGATCATTTAGCAGCTACTGACCAAGGGAGTCACTTCCAGGAATATGTTGACTAGTTCTTTCCGGTGTTGGTGGCTTTGAGGGACAACTGAGTGCTACTCAGGGACTGGAGCCTTGAATCTCCATATCACCTCATATGGTGTTCAAAATGTTCATACTCTGGTCCCATATGTAAAGGTAAAGTCCTTAGAAATCACTGTGAAAAGGGGAAGCCTCATACACCATTGGTGGGAATGCAAATTAGTATAGTCTCTGGAGAACAGTATTGAGGCTCCTCAAAAAACTAAAAGAAGTTCCTTACGATCTGGCAATTTCACTACTGGGTATATATCCAGCAGAAAGGAAATCAATACATCAAAGAGATGTCTGCACTCTCATGTTTATTGCAGCACTATTCACAATAGCCAAAATATGGAATCAACCCAAGTGCCCATCAATGGATAAAGAAATTGTCATAATTAAAGCAGACCAGGTTTCATAGCATACATAATCCCACAAATTACATCTTTAATAAATTTACTTTTAACTGAGTTACATTAAAAGCTTGTGTGCCCAGACATAGCCTCAAAAATATGTCCATACTACATTGAAGGACTGAAATAACTATAGATGGACATTTTTTTAAATGTATATTTCCATGGTAGAATAAATACCTTTTGTTTTTGTGGTTTCATAAATAATTTCCCCTGTAATGCATTGCAGGTTAAAATATTTAAATTTTCTACAGAAAAGTATACTTCTTTATGAAATAAAAGAGACCTTCAATGCTGGACTGCATTGCTGAAATACAGTGCAGCAAAGTATTCATCAGTGGTACCCCCCATCACTTCCTAAATTGTAAGTCTTACTTTTTGTTAATTTAACTTTTAAAAATGCATTTTTCAAGTGATATCTTGACATTTCCCCTTTTCATCTGCCCCAAGTATGAAAGGGTGGGCGTGCATAACGTAGGACAGGTAACCGAGTGTCTCTCACTTGCCAAGTTTCAATTAGGATGACACTGATTTATTAGTGTTTGCATAAATTTTATCTCCATTGAAAAATAAATGAGAAAAAGTATTATAAATATTAACTCACAGAGACAAACACCATGATAAAATATTTCCCCCTCACACTTCAGATTTACTGAAAGTCAATTTTATCAATGCCTAGGTTATTTTCTTATTTAAAACCAGCTAGAAATGTTGACTTTATATAATTGTAAGAAATTCCCTATGTTCATTGTGATCAAATAGTATCAAGCTATCAAAATCTTTATGATTTCAAGTACTTTTTTAAAAGACTAAGTATACATTATTAATAAATGCAAGGATGCACAGAGAACTCATATGAGCAGATATAATAATTCTGGAAGAATGAGGTATGTGGTCATGAGGCCCTCCATGGAGACCCTGCCATTCTGGTTTAGAATTGCTGCATTTTTCACTCCTCTCTTCTAACATACTTTCAACTATCTACAAGTTGTGGCAGACTGATGACAAGTGTCAACCAACTTGCTCCCGCATAAACCCTTTTACCAGAGACACTAGTAAGTAAAAATTAGAGAGAAGAAGAAATTACATTGTTTTTAGTTCATATATATTATTTTATTATCAAACCTCCCATTACAAGAAATTCATTTGAAAGAGTATTTTTCCAGGCAACAATGACAATTTAGGCTGGCTAAGAAACATATTAACCAGGCTGGGCACGGTGGCTCACACCTGCAATACCAGCACTTTGGGAGGCAGAGGCGGGTGGATCACCTGAGGTGAAGGAGTTCGAGACCAGCCTGGCCAACATGGTGAAACCCCATCTCTACTAAAAATACAAAAAAAGGCGGGGCAAGGTAGTGCACACCTGTAGTCCCAGCTACTCAGGAAGCTGAGGGAAGAGAATCAATTGAGCTGGGAGGCAGAGGTTGCATTGAGCCAAGATCCTCCCACTGCACTCCAGCCTGGGTGATGGAGTGAGACTCTGTCTCAAAAAAAAAACAAAAAAAAAAAAAAAGAAAGAAAGAAAAGAAATACATTAACCACCTCTCAGCTGAATATTTAACAATGAAAATAGGTTCACATATTAGATTTTGCTGCATCATCTTGGACAAAAAATTCCAGCAACTTTTCTGAGTTTCTGGATCATTTTAGATGAAGAGTATCTTGAAACTTCAAGGCAGGTTGTTTTAAAAAGGGTTGGGGTGGGTTGTGGAGATGGTTAATGGGTGCAAAAATATAGTTAGATAGAATGAATATGATCTAGTATTTGATAGCACATCAGGGTGGACTATAGTCAGCAATAATTTATTGCACATTAAAAAAAAGAAAATAGAATTGGAATATTTCTAACACAAAGAAATGATAAATGCTTGAGGTGATGGGTACCTCATTCACCCTGATAAGACTATTGTACATTGTATGCCTGTATCAAAACATCACATGTATCCAATAAGTATATATACCTACTATGTACAGACAAAAATTAAAAATAAAATAAAAACAAATGAGGAAACAAAAAACACTGCTACCATTTGTAACCACTTTAATGTGTGAATCAGGATTTTCTCAATATTGTGAAACCAAATAATACAGAAATCAATTTGATGCTACAGTTGATATAAGGTTACAACTATCTTCTCTAATATACCTTTTAAATTTTTGTGCTAATCAAAGTAATTTCATTGTTCTTATTAACAGATTTATAATAAGCATATTATATGAATTTGAACTCAATATACATCTTTGTATAAAAAAATTTTAATCTGATTTCTATACTGGAGTTTCATATAAGAATGTCATAAAAAAAAACTTCCTTTGAACACTACCAGTATAAATAAAGGACAAGTGAAATTCTAAAACAGAAATATTGGAGGTGGGAGGGACTGAAAATACTAGGTATTTTAAGGTCTAAAGGAGAGCCGTGAAGTGGTATGGGAAATTTCCTAAAGAACGCTGATAATATTCTCATCTTGAAACAAGAAGTGGAAAAACACACTAAATATATTTTAGTATACAACGTGTTTAGCTTCAAAAAGTTGCTAACAGATGAAACCTAGTGTTCATATGTAAAAAAGAGAGAGATTGAACTAAAAATTAGTTAGACTCTATAGCTCTCTGAACTAGTCTTAGGAGAAAATCAACCAAAAATAAATACCAGAATAATAACTGCAGAAAATTTGCTGGAGGTAGGGTTGTGAATTTTTTTTTAACATTTTGCCATATTTACTTTTTTTCTTTTAAAATATTTTTAATTGATACTTAATATTTGTACATATGTATGAGGCAAAGTGTGATGTTTTGAAACATGTATACATTGTGTAATAATCCAATCAGGGTATGTAGCATATCCATCACCTCTGACACTTATCATTTCTTTGCAATGAGAACATGCAAAATTGTCTCTTACAGCTATTTTAAAATATACAATACAATATTGTTAACTATAGTCATGCTGCTATGCAATAGCATACAAGAACTTATTTCTTGTTTTTATTATCTGTACTCCAGTTATTTCCAGACAGATCATGTGCTCTTAATCCTCAAAATCTCTTCAACTTCTCCATTTAACTGCAACATTCTTCTCTGCTCTACTCTTGCCAAACCCTAGTTCAACACTCAAAGCTCCATTCAAACGTTACCTCTTCAGAGAGTCTTTCTCAATTCCTCCAGGCACAGTTGGCCTCTATTACAGTACTATCATTTTTATTGTAATTACTTGTTTTGAAAATCTATCACCCCATGACACTATATGATTCTCAAGGATGGTAACTCTGTATTATTCATTTTTGTATTCCAGCAACTATTACAGCACCGAGCACATGTATAATCGATGCTGGGTCCATATTCGTTGAATGGATGAGCTTAAACACATGCACACACATGAACACCCACATACACATTCTGCTCATATTAATGTACTGTGCTATCTCAAGTAGTTTATTTCACCATCTGCAAAATGGCTTTATCTCTCCTGATTAACATTTTAAAAACCTATAGAAATATTTTTTAAAAGCAGGGGGAAAAGTACTTTCAAAGAAAAACTTGAATCTTTAAAAGTATACATAATGATGCCAACAGTAATCATACATTTGATAAACGACATTTGGGCACTAGGCACTGACAGGAGAGGTCTCTCTTGTATATTATAAAACACACTCGAAACTCTTTACACTGTAGCCAGTTAATATTGTTTATGATAAAAATATGATGGTGATAGTAATGACAAGGCTGATGGCATTTATTCCATTCAAGAAGTGACCGCAATAATTAATTAAGGTAAGAATAAGTAATACTAATACAAAGAAAGGCACTATATCAAAAGCTGTTTCAAAGCCCA
Source organism: Homo sapiens (assembly GCF_000001405.40). NCBI lineage: Eukaryota > Metazoa > Chordata > Mammalia > Primates > Hominidae > Homo > Homo sapiens. The sequence continues at coordinate 48,134 of NW_003315941.1, read as the reverse complement.
AAGGAGTCCCCATTTTAACAGTTAATGTGGTTAAAATAATTTGTTCAAAATAAATAGTGCCATCCAACAAGAGCTCTTCAAGTTCACAAAGCATTTACTTTTCTTGGATGCATCGGTTATTTGTTTCTTTTGATCTAACATGAGTTCATTTTCTATTACCATGTAGTCTTTCCCATTTCAAATATCCTACACCGGTTGGTTAAAAAAAACATTAATAATAAAAATAAAAATATAAGCCACCTTTCAAGAAACATTTACACGTTACTGAAACCATGTACTGAAAATGGAACTCAAACTTGGAACTAGAAAAGTGATGACAAAGAATGCCCTTAATACCCTCTCTTCCCTAACATCTGCAGAGAGCATTTTTACTAGCTAATTCAATACAAAGAAGCTGAGAATTAGCCCAGCTTCATCTTTTTAACTTGCAGACTAGGAGCTTGGTATCTAGTAACGATTTTAACAAAATACCATTGCAAATAAACAATGTGAGGTGTTTACAAGTTCAAAAAATTACATTGCATCTTCTCTCTCCTTTTTCTCTCTTTCTTTCTTTCCTTACTTCCTTCCTGTAGGTTTGAAAGAAATCTAACCATTTCTTAGCCTTGCTTGTTTCCATAAGGCCACTTCTAAATTTTTCCTTGATACATGTAAGTACAAAAAAAAAAAAAAGCTTTACCAGCTGTGTTCCCCACCCCGCCATTATTTACCCAAACTACTTCATTGCCACAGTTCAGGGATGCCAGTAATGAAGGCTCACCAGCGACTGCCAATACCCCTGAAATATCAATACAGTAAACTAGTAGGCATCAAAGGGATTCCTAAATAACACCAAGGACAGTTTTATTACCCATAAAGTAGAAAACCCACACAGAAGAGAAGCTGTCCTGGCGTTACTGTTTATTGGCCAGGTGGAACTGATTAAGAATGTGAGAATCTGTGGTAGGAATAATCATGGGCTTCTTGTGTTCAACACAAAAAAAGGGTTTCACATAACCCAGCAATAGCAGGGCATTAGTGCTCCACACTTGGAGCTATTTATACTCAGAACCAGGCTAGACAGGCTGGCTCAGAGGAAGTAATATTAAGGAAGAGTATAGAAGACAGAAAAGCTATTCTCAAAAACCACAAATAAAGTACAGCAGATTACAATTCCTTTGCAAATGAAAGTAAGGATTACCCCAAGTGAATTCAGTCCAGGCAATATTAAGATGGATGGGTAGCTCATAGCCAGGTCTGGTTTCATTTGAAGTCCTCCTTACCAAGAAGGCCAAAAATTGCATTCCCTGCAGGAAATACTTTCTTGTCTTTAGGCTGCTTTACCAGATGTTGAAGTGGGAAAAGATGCTACTGGAGAACAGTGTGAAGAAGTTTGATCAGGGAGAGAGGCATTTTATCTTTAGTCTTCACATGAAGGAAAATAGTCGTGTTTATGAAAATCATAAAGTAGCAGAATCCAGAGAGATATAATAGATGGTCAGTATTCATGGTATGAATATTCTCTACTTTGCAAAAGATTGTGATGCAGGTTTGCTTTGAATGTGTTCCTATTACATTCTACAAATGGTTTTATATTCAAAATTATATACATTTATGTTTCCATAGGTATCCATTTTGTAATCTAGAAAGACTACTGAAAATTATCCCCAAAAACCTATATATTACATGTATTACATGAAAATAAGTTATGACTAAAGAACACAAAAATATTACCATAAACTTTCTAGAAAACTTGATAGGTTTTCATGGAACAAGAAAATCAATATAATGAAGAAAATAAGGTTTAGATTTAGGTAGAAGTTCGCTTTTAATAATTCATTCAGTCTATATGAGATAAAAACTCTTGCCAAGGATTTTTACATCTCTACTTTTCAAAACACTATTAATTTCAAACGTTATCCCATTAAAAATTTTAAACTTTGCTTCATTAATTATAAATGAGTATCAAAGGAAATAAACTATCCTAAATATATGAAATATAATTTAGTTTTTTTTAAAAAAAGTAGCTCCTTTACTGTAGGAAATAACAGTAAAACTCTAAGGAAGTGAAATATGAACACATAATAGAAAAGCACACATGTTCATAAATCATGCATCAGTTATCAACAAAATAAATATGGAAACTTAGCAAGTAAAATTAGAGTTTAGAATCTGATTACATTACTATGGTATATATTGTACCAAAAGAAAAATTAAAAGTCAAATCTAACTGTATCAGTGTGTATAAGAAACCATTCTCTCACAGTACATCTGTGATTACTTAGAGTATAATTCTTTGTGATTCTCAGTATCAAAGATCATCCAAAGCTATAAGCAAAGTAAGAATCTTTTAAGCATTTGGTATATTCTCCATGATGAATCCAAAGTCTGCCTTAACATCTAGAGTTAAATTTCATAATGTCTAAATTCTGTTCCATTTAAAGACTAGAAGTAACTCATTTCATTTGATCATCACTTTCAATTTGAAGGACTAGAATATTCCTGGAAAGAAGTGGCTTTTTGCTCCCTTTATATTATTTGTCCACTATCTGTATACAGAGGATGAGGCATGATGTCATGCAACAGCTTTCTGGTCATGCATGAAGTATGAAGAGGCACGGAAGGGGAAGAGGTGCGTCTTACATGGCGGCAGGCCAGGGAGAGCATGTGTCAGCACAGAAAAAACTACCATTTATAAAACCATCAGATCTCATGAGAATTCACTCTCTATCACAAGAACAGCATAGGGGAAACCGCCCCCATTATCAATCATCTCCCACCTGGTCTCTCCCTCAGTACCTGGGGATTACAATTCAAGATGAGATTCGAGTAGGGACACAAAGCCTAACCATAACAGCATCTAACCAGGTTCAATGACAACATAAGGAAGAGTTTAAAAGGCATGCCTAAATTTGAAAATAGAGTTTAGGTGGAAATAACAGGTGAGACTATTTTGTTAATGGTATTTAATGTCTAGACTAATGTCTACCTCAATAAACACATTGATTTTTTCTGACTTGTATTCTAAATAACTTTCTATTAAGATTTTCTCTCAGATATGTTACCATTTGCAATTATCTTAATAAACCCACAGCTTCATTTTGAAAGTTGTATTGATTTTAGAAAGGGAAATTTCTATGACTGGCAAATGGCTTGTACATCTGCTCAGAGAATGGGAAGTTGTGAGGCCAAGCAGCAAACAGAAGGCAAAGTCTCCTATGAGAGAAGAGAGTCATATGTGCTGAGTCATGGTCTAAAATGATCACAAATCAAAACATGGAGTGCAGGAGAGGCACACTGGTGGCAGGGAGGAGAGCATTCGGGAACTCCTAACACCCGACTACTTTGCACCCAGTGAGGTCAGCCTCCTCCATCCTACCTGCCTAGCAATGAACACAAGTCCCTCCAGGACCTTGGTTTAGTAAGGCCTTGACAAGGCCATCCTGCGTCCTTTACTTCCAAATATGGACCTGCACGTGCATATTCCCTCCTGAAATGTATTGCCAGAGCTACCCGATATGCTTTCACTCTGCTTAGAAGTATTTGAACTTCTAGACGACCCCTACCAAACTTCTGGGGACAGTTCTATTTTCATCGTATGTGACTTCATGCCTAACCAATTTATTCCCTTCAAGGTGATCTTACGAAATGCAAATTTGATCATGTTCTGCTGTTTGAAAGCTTTCAAAGAAAAAAAAAAAACTTTATTTTTCTAGTCAAAGCCTCCATCTTTGCCCTGTTAGATAGCCTTACGTATGCTGGGCATAACTCTGACTCCTTTATCATACTACTGATTACAATGTAATCTTATTGCTGTTGTTATATTGTTAAGTATTATTATTATGCTTATTATTTTCCACTTTCCTCTACAAAACTATTGATCTATAAAGGCACTGCTTGTTCAATGCTACTTCCTTAGTACAGTGTCTGTCAGATAGCCGGCACTCAAAAATAGTTTTTGAATGAATAATAAATGAATGAAATATATTACTCTTGGCTCCTATTGTTCATTTCTGTCTTACAGAAGTTATATTTTGGAAGAGGAGTATTTGCCCTGGAAAATTAAAAAACTATTTTTAAAACAATTTTCTTTCACATTTATATATAACATAGATGACATATTGTATTATATGTCAACATATACATACGTTAGAAAAGCTCAGGACTGCTGAGATTTTGCTATTTGTACATATATATGGAATCAGACCCTCCGCGTCATTGTCATGGTTGTCTCACATCAGTGAGGTCTTGACACCAGTAAGAAATAAAGAACATTAGAAGAATGGTGTAAAAACACCCTTGCTTAGATCATTCTTTATCATGGTTGAAAAATTCCAAACACCATGTTGGGGCAGATGCAGATTATTATTGGCCTTTACATTTCAGATTTCTTTTTCCTTGTTAAAACTTCAAACTGAATTTATTTCTCCTTGGGATCTTCCATGCACTCCCATCCTAAACCCCTTTTTTTGTAGGACAAATCGGTTTCCTTATGGTGCACTTAGCCAGGACAGGAAGACCTTCAGCTTTCCTCAGCTTTCTGTGTTCTTCTGATTAGTACAAACTACCCCAGTGAGCTAGATTCCCTTGACCTTTAACTTCCTTCTTCCTGGTCTCTGAAATAAAATCACTTACAGATGAAGGAAGGCCGAAAAACTGAAAACATTCTGGTACTAAGATGGTTGAATTTTCCCCCAAGGTAGCTCTGTACATTTTATTTTCTTGTCACCCATTTGATTTCTAGTCCATGATCTGGCTCAAAAGACACAAAAGGAAGCTGGAGATGTTGGGGTTAAAAATTGATTTTTTCCTCCTTTAGAAAAGGAAAAAATATTATTACATCAAAGTATTTTCTTTTTGAAAATTTGTTCACATGCATCAGCATGTGTAAACCTTAGACTTCAGGTCTAAAGAAAAACCAACCAAACAACAATAACAACAAAAAAACCTGTTCTTATAAAAAAAGGACTCAAAACTTCAATTAAACAAACATTTAAAGAGTACCTAATTTGCACAAATTACCTTGAATACTGTGGAGAGAATGCAAAATAAATAATACATGGTTAATGCCCATTTGAAGATTACAGTGCAATGGTGAAGACAAAAGAACACATTAAGAAATTTAATACACTACACTGAATAAATGTGTCTTTTACAGAGCACTATTGTACTGTAAGCACAAGGACATTCACACATGCACACGTGCGTGCACTAGTGCATGTATAAAATTTTCTGTAATTATCATAAATTTCTTGCAATACACATGCTTTTTATTTGTTTGTTTGTTTTTTTGAGACGGAGTCTCGCTCTGTCGCCCAGGCTGGAGTGCAGTGGCGCGATCTAGGCTCACTGCAAGCTCCGCCTCCCGGGTTCACGCCATTCTCCTGCCTCGGCCTCCCAAGTAGCTGGGACTACAGGTGCCCGTCACCACGGCTGGCTAATTTTTTGTATTTTTAGTAGAGATGGGGTTTCACCGTGTTAGCCAGGATGGTCTTGATCTCCTGACCTCGTGATCCGCCCGCCTCGGCCTCCCAAAATGCTGGGATTACAGGCGTGAGCCACTGCGCCCGGCCTACACATGCTATTTTTAAATGAGGTTAAGAGACTTGTCAAAGGTCACACAACAAGTCAGCTATTAAGTGGCAGGGCTAGGTTTTGAAGTTCTATCTCCCCAATACCAAAGTCCATGTTCTTTCCACATAGCATCCAGTAATAGGTACTATATATTATAAAAGTCCAAGCAAAGTGAGATGAAATTATAGGAGGAAACAATGACAAAACAGAAACAAGCTGCGGTTGATGTAAAAATGAGAGAGTAATGGGTGTTTATGATAAACCAAAACACAAGAAAATCTTTTCATGCCCAAGTTGTAACTTTTACCAAATCAATCATGAAACTTCCAAGAAAGAAACAAGAAGGAAGCTATTCTCATCTCAGGCCTTCCGATTTACACTGAACAGAAACTGGCTCCTCACAATTGTGTTGTCAATCATTGGCCCATTTTTAATAATTTAAATCATTTGAAATTTCACCATAGTTAAGCATCTCTGATATAATATATAACTTGAGCCTGATATAAATTAGATATAATTGATGTACGTGTGATGTTATTTTGTGTGCTAATATGCTAACTATTCCAGTGAATACAATGTAACTCATCTCTCTCATGGGTGCATTTACAACTCCAGAAGTTAAACAGCATCTTTTTTGACATTTTAAATCAGGTCCATGAATAAACGGGAGAGGACCTAACACTTCTTACAAAAAATCAACTAACAGAAACGTTAGAAATTGAAGCAATTATCTGGAAAATTCAGGGTGCTCAACTGTGACAAGAACCGAGAGCCTGGGGCAGAATACATCATAGAGACAAAGTTCAAACCCATCCCAATCGTTTACCTACATAGCTCAGACACTCAAGGCCTTCAGGGTTCACATAGATTCTCAATGGAGAAATCCCTATATGGCCACTTGCCCAGTCAACAACAATTATTCCAACTGAACAACTATCTACACATACTCTCCGAATAATTGCAACCACCTGATTAACTTAAGAACAGAACAAAAAACCAGGACATGTAAGAAGCCTGAGAATAATCTTCTAATACCACAAGACCATAGCTGTTTGAATTCCCTAAGACTAAAGCTCTAAATATTTATACCCCAAAAAAGGTCTACAAAGTATAATAATTTATATACATATATAAATGAATTATATACATATACATGTATGTATATGTTATATATAATTTATATGTATACATAAATTATACACATGTAAATTTAATATACACATATATGAATTCAATATATGTGTAATTCAATTATACACATATATGTATATAATGTATAATTTGTGTATATATACATAAATTATAGATGTATACATAGGCATATAGACATATACATATGTATATAATTCATTTATGTACATATATAAATGATTGTTCTTTGCAGGCCTTTCTGCGGTGATATTTATGTACATAAATTTATATACATATATAAATATATATGTATGTCTATACCTGTGTGTGTGTTTATATGAGCTACACCAAATGCTCCCAAAAGCACTCATTTGGCCACAAAGAACTGTAAGGTAAAAGAAGGGAAAAAATGGATTTTCCACATTTCCATTTCGAAAAAACTCACTTTTGAAAGCATAAATTCCCCTCAGAGATGTAACAATAATCTTAACAGAAAATACGTGGCATGACCTTAACCATGTGGCAATATCTCATGTCCAAGCTTCCCCAAAATATCTAATTTTCAAGTTAGTGTTAGTTTTTCTCAAATTAAAATCTTCCTGTGAGGACATGGGGCATGGCAGCCACCACAATCTCACAGGAAGATTCCCTAATAGACAAACTGTATAAGGTTCTTTACTGGCGTCTCCTGCCAGGGCAGGGCTATAGAGAAGTCCCAGTTCAAATAGATCCTGAAAGGACTTTGTAAATCTCTGGGGCTTCTACCAAGTTGACGTGCCAATACATATGACAACTAATATCAAGGAAAACATAAAACACAGCTTTGCCAAAAGAGACAGTTTTGTCCCCTTGGACTGAGCAGCAAGAATAAGTAAAACATGTAAAGATAAAGCATCACAAATGCATCATAGCCTAGTGCCAGAGGCAGTGCTGCAGAAACGTGAGAATCAGGGACACACAATGAGAACAGAGCAGGAAATAATCCCTGCTCAAACCCATGACCAAGAAGCAAACTCAATAGAGTCTTATGGTCAAATCCCACTACCTTAATGAAATCAAGGTCAATGGGTAGCTCAGTTCCCTTCACTGAGGATCCTGAGTCTTACAGTCAGAGCCCATTCCCTTGATAAAATCAAGGCCATTGAGTGATTTGGCTTCTCCACCAAGGTCCTGAAAGGAAGCCTGGGCAACATATGGAGACACCATCTTTACAAAAAATAAAAAATAAGTGAAAAAACTTAGCTGGGCATAGTGGTGTGTGCCTGTGGTCCTAGCTACTGTAGAGGCTGAAGTGGGAGGACGGCTTGAGTCCAGGAGTTTAAGTCTGCAGTGAGCCGTGATCATGCAGCCTGGGCAACAGAGTGAGACTCTGTCTCAAAAAAAAAAAAAAAAAAAAAGCCAGTCTCCATCCAGCTCTTCTTTTCTTTAATGGACACTTCCAACAAGAGGTGTCTTCCACTCACCCCTTGTTTTGCTTTATCTGTGTATTTTCTTAGTACTGAGCACAGTGCTAAGCAAATAGTAAGTGCTCACTGCATGTTTTCATAATGCAAATATTCGAACACAACGATAGAGATGTCCACTCCCACTACTCACACAATTCAGGAATCCAGTCTACTTCATCCCTAGTGAATCTTCATCCAAAATCTACTAGTACTTCAAAAAGTAGGAGTAACACTGCTTTTCCAGGGAATCCATTGTATTATCAGCACTATTCGGGAAATTTTGCCTATAAAAGTTATAAAATGCCTCCTCTAATGTTTACTCACTGATCCCCCAGTATTGACTACATGGAGCAAACACAGGATACATCCACCTTCTACATGTCAGCCCTACAACATTTAAAGACAGCTACCCAGTCTACTCCAAACGTCTCATTTCTAGACTAGACGTACCCTGTGCCTTCAGCTAGTCCCTTATGGCATAGATTCTTAGTCTTTGACAATGGAATTTATTAGGAATTGAGACCTTCAGCCATATCTGAAAAGTAGAACATTGATTACAAAGTAGCATGTGAAGAATTTCCTAAAGTCTGGCTCGCCTTAATACATTTTCCATTTCTAAAATCCTGACCGTTAGATATTCCTTCTTTGGAGAGAACTTCACTCCAAATATCTGTTAAAATACAAATACTCTAGGGAAATCAAAGCACACTTCCCATTGTCATTTAGTAGTTTCTTAACTTGGACTTCTTAATCAGATAGTAAAGTGTTTCCTTGAAAGGGAAAAAAACAGAGCTCTATTTGAATAGGAAACTATTTGTGTGTGTGTGTGTGTGTGTGTGTGTGTGTGTGTATGTGAGAGAGAGAGAGAGAGAGAGAGAGAGAGAGAGTCTCACTCTATTGCCCAGGCTGGAGTACAGTGTGGCAATCTCGGATCACTGCAACCTCCGCCTCTTGGGTTCAGGGGATTCTCATGCCTCAGCCTCTCAAGTAGTTGGAATTACAGACATGCGCCACCACACCCAGCAAATTTTTGTATTTTTAGTAGAGACAGGGTACACCATGTTGGCCACGCTGGTCTCGACCTCCTGACCTCAAGTGATCCGCCCACCTCGGCCTCCCAAAGTGCTTAAAGGGATTACAGGCATGTGAGCCACTGTGCCTGGCCTCTATTTGATATTTGAGAAGAGAATACCAGGTGGTATCCATACTGTTAAACACTTAGATTGTTTCCAACTTTGTGTTTTAATCAATAATGCTGTGATAAACATTCTTACATAGAAATGCATATACTTCTGATTATTTCCATAACATTTATTACTCCAAAAAGAATTTGTTACAACAAAATATATAATAATTAAATTTTAACATTTTTTTTTTCTGAGACATAGTCTCACTCTTTCACCTAGGCTGGAACGCAGTGGTGAGATTCAGCTCACTGCAGCCTCTGCCTCCCAGGTTGAAATGATTCTCATGCCTCAGGATTACAGGCACCCGCCACCATGCCCAGCTTTGTTTTTTTTTTTTTTTTTTTTTTTTTTTTTTTGTCAGTAGAGACGGGTTTTCACCATGTTGGCCAAGGGATCTTGAACTCCTGGCTTAAGTAATCTGCCCGCCTGGGCCTCCCAAAGTGCTGGGATTACAGGCGTAAGCCACCACACCAGGCCTAATATAGTTTTTAATTAAGTAATACATGAAAACAAAGAAGGAAAGGGGAAGGGAGGGGAGGGAAGGGGGGAGGGGAGGGAAGGGGGGAAAAAGGAAGAGAGGACTGATTTTAATGAAGCTGAACTCCCTCGTACCACCTAACTTCTGGTCCAAGACAGAGCCGCTGTTACCAGTTTGGTGTAGATCCTTCCAAACTTTTCCTTAAACATTTGCATATAAATATAAAACCACAGAAAATATATATTCAGTTTAAGCAAATATTATATCATATTATTTATTCTTACTTAAATGTACTCTTCTCACTCAATGACATATCGTAACTGTATTTGTATGTCTTACACATACAGCGACCACATTCTTTCAAACAGCTAAACAGGATTCCACAGTTCCTTTACATTTCTAAAATCCCCTACTGATGAAACAAAATGAATTTCTTTTCTTTCACACAACCATTCAGTGACTATCTTTGCAAATGCTTCTTTGAGCAAATTTCTCTGATGTCTACTGTGAAGCCAAGCTGGTGGCTCAAAGGTTATGTGCATTTTAAATGTTAATAGATGAGGTCATATTGCTCTCTCAGGTCGGTGTGAGTGCCTATTTGCCCACAACCTGGTCAAAATATGCTATTAGCAAATATTTAAGCTTGCTGATCTGGTGGTTTAAAAATAGCACCTAATTTTTATGTGTTTTTTTTTTACTATTAATGAACTACATTTTAATATACATTATTATCTATCTGTACTTTCTTTTCTATGCATTGACTATTTATATACCTTCCTGCTGTTCTATTGATTAGTCATTTTCTTACTGAATTTTAGGGGTTTCTAACACACCCAATATAGATACCAATCTTTTGTTATATGTGGTACATGTACTTTTCCAGTCTTTCACTTGTTTTTAAAATTTTGTTTATGGTCTATTTTGGCATGGCATTTAAATTGATGTTTTAATAAAAGACTTCCTCATCTTAAGGCATGAAAGATACTATTCCACATTTTCTTCTGGCAGGTTTTTAATACACTTGACTTGTATTCTTTAATGGTGGGAAGTAGAAAGAAATTTTTTTCAAAATAAAGAGTTGTTCCATAATTTTTCCTATGAATTTGAAAGACTACATTTATCATATACCAAATTTTGATTTACACATGGTCCATTTCTGGGATTCTGTTGCATCCCGCCGATCCTATTTGTCTAGCCCCAAACTGTTGTAATAACTAGTAACTCTTTATATGTTTTGGAATACTGCAAGGCAAGCACCCCCTTTGTTTACTTCTTTTTTAAAAAATATTGATTCTTTAATATTTTCCCTTCATACCAGGTTCAGCTTGTCAGTTTGTATTAAAAAGTCTTGAAATTATGATATAAGTAGTATTTAACCTACAGATTAATTTTGGAAGAATTCACAATTTTATGATTATTTTTTATATCCATGATTACAATATGTCTCTGTTTATCCACATTTACTTTTCTAAACCTAAAAAATATTTACTTTAATTGATTTATTTTTATGAATATCTGATAGTACTATTAATATCTACTAGGCTACCTCCTGCCACTGCTGTATTACTATTCTTTTGCAAAAATTTTCTGGCACCTCCTACCTATTTATTTTACTACATAATATTTAGCATAATTCTATCTAGTTCTAAAATAAAAACCATACTTTGTCTTACCATTATGAAAAGGTGCACATATTTCAAGCAGAGGTGAGAAAAGGGAAGTCGAGAGGAGTCCATTCCAGCCAGAAGGAAAAGCCTGTACAGAGACAGACAAATAGGAAGCTGCAAAGTGTGCCTGATGATTCAACTGTGCGCATGCTAGGAGCTCAGGTTTGGGTGTGGCAGGTAATGAATGACAGAAGGTCAGACTAGAAACATGAGTGGATCAGCTCATGGAAGGCTTGGATACTCCACATACTCTGACCAGACTCTATTTACTTATATAACTATGGGGTGGCACAAATTTAAATGTAGGATTTCATCACTAGCAGAAAATCAACATATATTTCAGATGTGATTTCAAATATAGAGACTCAGCACAGATGTGGGATGCATCTTCACTGATAGGTTGATAATGCTCTGGGTTAAGAAATCCATCTGATGTGTAAAATCAGGAAATGGGCATTGTCAGATAACAGAGAATCAATCAAGTCAAGTTGATAGGCTTTTCCCCTGGTTGTGGAAATTAGAGGAATAAATGCCCACTGGATTCACAAATAAGTATTATCTTGAGCAACAAAAGTAAACGAATTTTTATAGAGGTGCGTGGATGCCTGGTACAGTGGTTGGAGACTGTAATCCTAGCTACTTAGGAGACTGAAGCAGGAGGATTGCTTGATGCCATGAGTTCAAGACCAGTTTGGGCAACATAGTGAGACTCTACTTCTAAAACAAAACAAACAACAATAAAAAATTTTAATCAGCTGAGTGTGGTGGCACCTGCCTGTTGTCCCAGCTACTAGGGAGGCTGAGGCAGGAAGATCTGTTGACCCCAGGAGTTAGAGGCTGCAGTAAGCTATGATCATGTATAGTAGACATACCCGATAGCAAAATCTTAATCAAATCCTGAGAATGACCCTGTTTGGTAGATGCACCTGAATGTATATACGTTCAGAATTCCAAACTGTGGAACCTAGGAGTAGCCAACACCAAGATTCATTCCTTATCTATGAAGAACACCTGAGTTTCTGGCCTGTTCCCTTGGAACACGGGCCACTCGAGGAATCAAGCCCCTTTGTTTTGGGTTAAATGAAGGCTGCCAGGTGGAGGTTGTTAGGGAGAGGGTGCTAAGTGAAATGTCATATAAACCACATGCTTCTTGCAAGTGGTTGCAGTTCTCCTGTACAGCTCACTGCCACTGGACCAGCTCTATGTGTAAGTTTCCTTCAATAAGACCCCATGTCCTGTTTGCTGGATCTGAGTCTCTTTCTCAGCCTCCTGAACCTGATGCTATCCCTACTGATGTTACTGGAGTGCCACTGCACTCCAGCCTGGGCCACAGAAGACATTTCATCTCAAAAAATAAAAATAAAAATAAAAAAATACAGGCCAGGTGTGGTGGCTCACACCCGTAATCTCAGCACTTTGGGAGGCCCAGGTGGGTGGAACACCTGAGGTCAGGAGTTCGAGACCAGCCTGGCCAACATGGTGAAACCCTGTCTCTACTAAAAATACAAAAATTAGCCAGGCGTGGTGGCAGGCACCTGTAATCCCAGCTACCCGGGAGGCTGAGGCAGGAGAATTGCTTGAACCCGGGAGGCGGAGGTTGCAGTGAGCCGAGATCGTGCCACTGCACTCCAGCCTGGGCAACAGAGAAAGACTTCATCTCAAAAAAAAGCAACAAAATACACACACACATATATATATATATAAGTACATATATATAGATAGATAGATAGATAGATAGATAGATAGATAGATAGATAGATATAATTTAAAGTGGGGGTGAAAGTAAGACCAGGAAATGAAGCTAGAGACAGAATTTTCTGAGAACAATAGGGCAGGGGAAATGTCAAGTGTGTCCAGGTAGCCTTCGGCTTTTACTACTTCACTGATCCTTAAGATAATTACTTCCTTCTTACTAGCCTCCCTCTTCTCCTGTCTCCAGGTGCTGCTTGCATCAATGCTGGTTCAAAGAAAAACTATAGCTGGACAGCAGTTAAAACAGTAAAACCAAATTTTTGCAGGACTATTGTAATAGGTGAAAAGAGACCTCAGTACAAAACTAGATTAAATTCCAAATACAGCATGGGCAAGTGGGACTTTATAGCCAAGGAGCAGGGTGAGGGTCAGTGGATAAAGGAAACATTGTGGGTATTGGAGTTTCTTACTAAACCATCCTAAATGGATTCTTGCTGAAGACCAGGGAGATCAGACATCACTTGGGGAGTGGTGGAGAAGGAAGAACCTGATAAGATATCAAGAATGATCTGATATTGGCGAGGTGTAGTGGCCCATGCCTGTAATCCCAATACTTTGAGAGGCCGAGGCAGGCGGATCACTTGAGGTCAGGAGTTCGAGACCAGCCTGCCCGTCACTACTAAAAAAAAAAAAAAAAAGGCCGGGCACGGTGGCTCACACCTGTAATCCCAGCACTTTGGGAGGCCGAGGCGGGTGGATCACAAGGTCAGGAGATCAAGACTATCCTGGCTAACACGGTGAAACCCCGTCTCTAATAAAAATACAAAAAATTAGCTGGGCGTAGTGGCGGGCACCTGTACTCCCAGCTACTCGGGAGGCTGAGGCAGGAGAATGGCGTGAACCCAGGAGGCGGAGCTTGCAATGAGCCGAGATTGTGCCACTGCACTCCAGCCTGGGTGACAGAGCCAGACTCCGTCTCAAAAAAAAAAAAAAAAAAAAATTAGCTGGGCATGATTGTGCGTGCTTGTAGTCCCAGCTACTCGGGAGGCTGAGGCAGGAGAATCGCCTGACTCCCAGAAGGTGGAGGTCACAGTGAGCTGAGATCACACCACTGCACTCCAGCCTGGGTGACTCCATCTCAAAAAATAAATAAATAAATAAAATAAAATAAAATAAAATAAAATAAAATAAAATAAAGAATGATCTGATACAGAGGATGGGGGATCCCGACTAAACAAACTTAGCAGGGACTTTCTAAAACTGGATTTTACAAGGAGGTGCACAGATGGGCCTAGGAGAAGGTCCAGGAACCTGACTAAAGTTTGGTAAAGCAAAGAATCCTCATGATGCTCAAGCAAAGCACCTTTCTTTACCTCTGCCACTAGAAAGGAAGGCCCTTGGCTACGGACTTGTTCTCTGCTAGATGGCAATGACTGGTCCAGCTAGTGAATGATTGAGTTCTCTGCTGCTGCCTTTTGAGTACTATCGTAGCTCATCTCAGATCAAATATCCACTTTCTTTTTCTTCCTATTATTTTTTAATTTGAATGAAAAATTTCAGCCACACAGAAAAGTTGAAATATTTAATGGAAATCTGTGTGTCCTCTCTCTTTCTCTTTTATTCTTAAGATTCAGAGGGTACATGTGCAGGTTTGTCACATGGGTATGTTGGATGATATTGGGGGTTGGGCTTCTAGTGAACCCAAATAATGAACATAGTACCCACTAGATAGTTTTTAGCCTGGCCTCCTTCCCTCACTTTCACCTTCTGGAATCCCCAGTGTCTATTCTTTCCACCTTAATACCACGTGTAGTCATTGTTTAGCTCCCACCTATAAGTGAGAACATGCGGTCAAATGCCCACTTCCCAGGACCCCAGAAGACAAGTAGGATTGTCAGGGAGGCTTTCAGCATTTCTATAATCAAAATAAGCCAGTAAACAGGGTGGCTTTAGTAGCAGCATTTGAGGAGAAATATTGTCAAGAGAAAACAAGCTGAAATCTCAGACACCGTCTTGCCTAACGTAGGACATCTGGTTACCTTATACTAGTATAGTCAATACATCAGAAGAGTCTAAAATGCAACATCCTGATGACCATATTAACTCTCCCATATGAAGCTTACCCTGGAATTTCCTGTATTTGTGTTTCAATTTCCGGGTTTATTTCTTCACATTCTTCATGAAAAGAGCTGGGGGGAGTGGGGAGAGAGGGCAGCAGGAAAGAAGAAAGGGAGAGAAAGAAGAGAAACAGAAAAAGTGTTCAGGAGATTATAGCTGCTCTTGTCATGGGGGCGAGGGTGGGGGGATGTGGGGTGGGTGAGTAGCTAGATGGCATGATGAATATGTTAATTGGTTTCACCGTAGTAATCATTTTACTATATATGTATCTGATAATGTCATGTTGTGTATCTTAAATATGTAAAATATTTATTTTTAAAAGATTTATGAAGGTAACATTTAAATGAACATTCCCTCCAGAAATGGGGCAGAGGGAAGTCCTTAGCCTGAGGAAGAGGTATTTTAAGCAGACATTTAATGAATACAAGCATTCAAAAGAGGTGTGAACGTATATGTGTTCTGATTACAGCAAACACCATAAAACAAATAAATACTTTCATTAGCTAAGAACTTTAAGTAACCATTTGCCAAGTTTATCTTCAGAGTCTTTCCTGTCAAATGTCAGAATTGTAATTTTAGCTGTTCTTTTAAAATAAGGCTTAATTAGGACCCAAAAGTAAGGAAGAGGATTTGACTTTTCTATGACATGGCAAAAGGGTGCAACCAGATCGCGTTGCACAGCCCATGGGAGCAAAGTCCTAGCTCTCAAATTTCTTTTCTTCAAAGTTATAGGAAGCTGCGACAGCTAAGATCTCCAGGGCTGTCTTTATTCAGTGGCTGAGCAACAGGACACTCACTATTCACTTATTTGTCTGCTTTGTATGGCTGAACAGCCTAAGAGTACTCTCTAATTTCATGTAGAGGAATCTCTTACACATGTAATTTTGAATGAAAATTACTCAATTCTTAAGAATTCATTTTTTAAATAGTGGTAAAAAGTCTTATCAAAAAGAAATTACATTTGGTTTTAATCTACTTTTGTACAGAAAATTACTATTTTTTTAATTAATTAATTTTTTTAGAAAGTCTCACCACATTGCCCAGGCTGGTCTCGAACTACTGATCTCAAGCCTTCCTCCCACCCCTGCCTCCTGAGTAGCTCGGATTACAGACTCGAACCACTGCACCTGACCAGAAACATATTCTTAATGTTGTGAAGTAGGCAAGTACGTCTGAAATTGCTGGGCTTGCAGGACTGAACCTGGGAAACAGGCCTTTTGCCGTCTATGACTCTGCCAAATGGTTTTCATCTTTCTTCATTCATCTAATGGGTATGATCAGTGGTGTACTAGAGCTGACTGTACACATTTCTTCCCAATTCCATATTCAATAACTTGGGTTGCTTGAAATTGGCCATAATGAGATTATTTACACCATGAACATGGGCAAACACTACAAATATCAAAGGTTTTCCCCCAGAGAGCTAGCTGTTAAACATTTACTACACAACTGAGATTGAGTGTGATATTCATATTTATAGTGTAATGACAAGTTTTATAGGCATTGTTGAAAAGTGTGTTTGATTTTGCCATTTTCTATGTAAATTTGAATATTCTGATTTTGAAACTGATCACCAAAGCAGCCGATATATTTATTTGAAGGTGGTCTATTGTAAACCATTAAAACTATTACAAAAAATCATAATTGAAGAGTTTGATTCCCCATTATTTTTAAAAACAAATAACTCTTAAATGGGAATGATCCCACACTAGAATTCAACATGAATTGGTATGTTTGCTTATTCATGACACATTTGGCCTATCACAAAGCTCCATTTGCCTTTCAGCATGATGAGAAATTGACTGAAGCTGACATTAAAGACCCTCAAAAGGTATTTTGTCCTGAACCTTTAAGGGTTAGCTAGAGCTGGCAAAGGTTACAGAAGGAAGTAGATGTTCATAAAGTGTAGTTTGGAGTTTGATAGGGTAACATGCTTCTTTCTCTTAGATCAGCAAGGATAACAGAAGGGACCAGACCACACAGAAGAGATATCACCTTTGTGCAGTTAAACATAGATACTCCTTTTAGGATAGATACAAATCTGTCCAGAAGGCCTCCCAGAAGGAATTGTATACTTGCAAAACCACAAACCATGGACTTGGGTCTGTTTCTATTAGGGAATTCTTTCCCAGACATTATGTCACTTTATTTTTCTTTTAACATTGTTTGTGAACAGGTCTGCAACTATAGAAAATGTGTTGATTATACCTGTCACAATGAAACTGTTTTCCAAACACTTTACAGTTTTCATGCCAATAAAATAACTTGGAACATCTAGAGCAGATAGTTTAATCATTAAATTTTATACGTATTTACTTATGACATCATTTTCTATTTCAAACATGACCAGATCCCATATTCTCTGTTGAGATTGAAGAGGTCATTTTATATATAACAAAAAAGCATCAATTTTTTCAAACAAATGATTAACCATTTTTTAAGTTGCTTTTTCAGGCTGGAAAAAATGGGTAGCCAAGCATTTTCTGAATGGTCAAAGGAATATCAGAAATATGTATTTATGAACAGTATTAGCAAGACAGAATCAATCACTTTACGGATATGTAGGCTGAGGTCTTGAAAAAAATCAAAGAATTATAGATTTTAGGAGGTGGAATCTTAGAATTCATGTCTGATTGTCTACTGTAACAGATGAAGAAGCCAAGTGGTGCAATTAGATGATTTGTTAGGGGGTCATATATCTGGCAGGTGGCTGAAGCCTTTTGGCTAAATCAGGCATTCTAATTTCTGAGACCATTTTCCATAGCACTGTGGTCTTTCCAAGATATACAGCTGACATGCCAACATAGCATTTACAGTGTTAAAATCGTGCCTCCTTTTCACCAGAGGGACTTTAGTAGATTTCAAATAAACTCTTTTGTTTAGTGTTTTCATTTTTACAATTATATAATGTAGCACCTTTACAAGGCATATGTTGACACACAGCATTAACTCTTCTAGGTTAACCATGTTACATCAGACTTTGCCAGGGGTAGGTGTTATATTTCTGGAGATATGTTTTTAGTCCAATACTTGTAGAAGTCAATATATTTCAGTAGGAATTATGCTTCACAGCTGGAAAAATTAAGACAAAAAGGTTACTTAACATATCCAAACTACACTCATAGTTAGAGTCAGGTCATTTCTATCTTTCAAATTAGATGGCTTGCTACTCAACTACACATCAATTTAATCTTTAGTAACACAGAGGAAAACCACAAGAGAAACCTAGTAGCTTCAATTACCCATAGCAAACATGCATTTACAGATGCCACTTCAGGGGCTATAATAAGGGGAAATTGACTGAAGGTCAATTCCACATTGGGATTCCACATTCCCAATTCCACATTGGGAAAAGCCCCCAGTACAAAGCAGAGAACACATTCTGAGTTCAGCCCCCAGGTAGGAAAACCCTAATACTCTTTAAAGTAGGGATCACTATTTGGAAAATTAATTCTCTAGTCTTTGAGCTCTACTCAAATTTCATATTCATCTTTCATATGTGACTTTTTATTTGCAATGCTCAATTATTAGTTTTAGACTTTTAGAGTTGAAAGGGGTCTTGAAGATCCAGCCCCACACAGCACAGAGATTCATTCAGCATTGCAAATAGTCATCTATCTGTTACTTAAATATATCTAATGAGAGAATACATGTATTTTTTGTCAAAAATCTTACAAAGGCCCCAGTACAATGCAACACAAATATATCACTTCTGGGGTATATCTCAAAATTCATAACATCAATGTAATAATAAGAATATATCAGACAAACTCAAAATGAAGGATACTCTACAAAAGAGCTGCCAGTGTTTTGATCTTGGATTGATCTTGGACTGCCCAGCCTTCAGAACTGTGAGCAATAAGTTTCTGTTATCTATAAATTAACAGGTGTAAGGTATTTTTCATAGCAACCTGAATGAACTCAGATAGTATAAAAACTGGGGAAGCCCAAATGTTAATTTCTTATTTTGATAAATATACTATGGTTATGTAAAATGTTTATATTAGATATAAATTACATGAGAAATTAACATTAGAGGAAGCTGGGTGAAGCGTATATAGAAACTCTCTGTACTAGCTTTGTAACTCTTCTCTAAGTATAAAATTATTTCATAATAAAGTAAAAAGTATCTTGGCTAGATGCGGTGGCTCACTCCAGTAATTCCTGCACTTTGGGAGGCCAAGGCAGGTGGATCACATGAGGCCAGGAGTTCGAGACCAGCCTGGCCAACATGGCAAAACCCCATCTCTACTAAACATACAAAAATTAGCCAGGTATTGTGGCATGCACCTGTAGTCCCAGCTACTAGGGAGGCTGAGGCAGGAGAATCACTTGAACCCGGGAGGTGGAGGTTGCAGCGATCCGAGATCACACCACTGCACTCTAGCCTGAGCGATACAGCGAGACTCTGTCTCAAAAAAAAAAAAAAAAAGTATCTTAAAAAGATATTACTTCCATTTTATGATGAAGAAACCGATTGACTAAGATGTGAGAGTTAATGAGTGAGTTTTTAACTTCAGCCTGTCCCTTACCTTTTTTGGTAATTAAATCAACGTTTTGTTGAGAAGCATCATAAAAATGAGGGTTGGACACTTCAACGCCGTTTCTGCCACTCACAAACCTAAACAAATTTCCTTGGCTGTAAAATGTCATGGTGATTGGCACAATGTACATGCTCAATAACTGTTAGCCACCTACTGAACATCCACTGAAGGCACAGAAAATGACTTAGCTAATGTCCAAGCAGCCACTTTAACAGCAGTCCTCAAACCTGGCTGAGCAGCAAAATCAACTGGGGAGCTTTTGAAAAAATGTAAATTCCCAGGCCTCATTGCATTTTTATAAATCTCTCCAGGGGACTCAGATGTGCAGCCAAATTTGGGAGCCACAGTTGTTTGGTATTTAGAGAGTCACCAAGGGGGAGTTTTTTCTATAGTGTTCCTTGAAAGTCAAGAATTTAAACCTAAGCCTCTGAATAAAGAACCAATAGATCCTATATAATAGGTAACATTATACATAGTTTTACCTTCCCTGAGGGAGCATTGAGAAAGGGGCATTTGTATGTTATTTAAGGAAAGGTATAACTGCAGAAACTTAATCTCCTAGACAATCCTAAATGCTATTAGAAATTTATGTATTCTCATTATAATCACTTTGTATTTAAGCCTCTTGCTTTCATTTTTCAGTTTACTAGAGCCAGGAACATACCCTTTCATTTAGCATGAGTTTGCTCACTCGATTAGTTAGCCATCATTTTTCAGAAAATAGCCATGACAAATTTGGTCCCAGGTGGAAAAATCTGCCTGGAACAGGGGACAGCATGGAAACACCAAGTGAAGACAAAGAATAAAGAGGGGACATTGCATAATGATTTATATTTTCACTTAAGGGCCAGGACTATTGGCTAATGAAGACCGTACATATTTTTAAAAATATTTACATGCATATGCATGCACACATACATGCACGTGTGTGTGTGTGCATATACATATACATATGTAAACTAAGATAAAGCCAAATAAATGGTTTTTGGGGGGTGGGAATGATAAGGCCAGGATGAAAGACAGAAGTGAAGAACTAAACAAGAAAATAGAGAAAAGCAGGTGGGTTACTAATAGAAGCAAAAATATTTTGGGGAACTGAGTTCTACCACCACCAGTAGCACTTTAGGGACACTCAAATCACTGGTACTGATTGAAGAAGTATTCAAATCACTGGTACTTCCGCTTCAACAATAAAGATGTTTCCCAAGGCCTCGTTCTGTCTTTATTTCATAATGTACCTTGGAATTCCTATATTCATGCTAACTGCTCCTTTGGGACAGAATTTTATTTTATGCTCTTTTTTTTGTTACAAAGAAGTCTGTAAGAATTGTGATTAAAAACAACATTTTGTGCTGTGCCTTTTAAGCATCTGCACATGCTCTGCAATCTTTGGCCTAATTTCTGTTCTTGCTGTGTTCCCCTAAAAAGCTGCTCTGAGAACACAGCATATTCAAAACCAATGGGTACTCTGTGTATGGATTAACTCCAGGAGTTTCATACAAAGATAAGGCAGTGGCCTGTTAATGAGCAAAGGTCAGGCTTGACTTAGAGAATGGTCTCCCCGTTGCTTAGCCTGCTGCCTTCTCTCATCACATCATAAAAGCTTCTAAAATGTAAGTAGTCCCATTAATTAAATTTTAAGGAAGATTTGAAGTTTATGTGTAGATGTGGGGTATTTTTTTCCAAATGGCCTTGTAGTCATAATAATTTAGAAAAGTGTGACATTAAAATGTCTTCATAGCAGGCAATAATTCTACTTCTAGACATCTATCCTAAGAAAATTATCAGATGCCAGGCACGGTGGCTCACGCCTGTAATCCCAGCACTTTGGGAGGCCAAGGCAGGCGGATCACGAGGTTAGGAGATAGAGACCATCCTGACCAACATGGTGAAACCCCATCTCTACTAAAAATACAAAAATTAGCTGGGTGTGGTGGTGGGCGCCTGTAATCCCAGCTACTCGGGAGGCTGAGCCAGGAGAATGGCTTGAACCCAGGAGGCGGAGGTTACAGTCAGCCAAGATCATGCCACTGCACTCCAGCCTGGTGATAGAGGAAGACTTTGTCTCAAAAAAAAAAAAAAAAAAAAAGAAAGAAAGAAAATTATCAGATAAGCTATGATTTATATAAAAATAGTTCATCATAGCATTATTTATATTAAATACCTATAAACAATCTAAATGCCTGACTTAAAGGGAATAATTATATATAATAGGGTACAGCTATATAATGAAAAATTAGATGACTTTACATTTATAAAGAATTATTAACATGAGAAATCTTTATGAAAATAAGTTTTTAAAAACGCAGAATATTACATTGTTTCTAACGTATAATTTAAATCAAATATAAATGAGCATATATTTGTGGCAGCAGAAAGTAACAGTTCAGACTGCTTGAATTTACACTCAAACACTCCACACTTTACTCTGTGTACCTTTGGCCAAGTTATTTAACCTCTCTGTGTCTTAGTCCCCTGTAATATTGGAATGGTAATATTACCTACCCCATAATATTTTGTTAGAATCAAATGAAGAAATGTATATAAATCACACAGAGAAGTGTCTGGTTCATAGTTCTCAATAAATGTTAGCTGGTATTATGTTATTGTTTTGTTTTTATTATTATTGGTATTACTATTATTATTAATATATTTTAAATCCAGGAGGGAAGAAGACCCAAATGTTTACAGTAGTTACCTCTACATGGTAAGTTTAATATGGCAGTGTTTCTATTTAAGTTTTTTCTGTTTTTTAAAAATTTAGAACAAGATGCATAGTAGGCTTTTAAAATCAATGAAAAAGAAAATCACCTAATACAAACATGAAAAACAATCACTATGACAATTTTCAATCCTCAAAATGCCAAAGTGTATGCACTATAGTGATGTCCACAGCAAATAAGTAACACGTGTCACACACTGAACTCTTAACACACTGATGTTATTTCCAAGTCACTGACTTCAGCTTCTTAGAATAAGAAGGGTTTCCCCAACTGCTGAGCTATAATTTAAGCCTACTCCTGCCCACATAATTGTTAAAGTCAGACCAACCCATTCCTATTTGTTGATGCACTTTATTTATGTCTTGATTTTGAAGAAACACCCTTAAATATAACAGAGTCGGCAATGGCTATAGGTTTGTTTTGTTTAGTTGTACTCTGTCATCAAAAAATTTATATCATTCAAATGAAACAAAAAAGGTCCATGATATACAAATGAACTTCCAGTTCCAAAATGAAATGGAATCAACCCAAACTAAATACGCAGGATTATTGCCACAGAAAATAATTGAAAAATTATCATGGAATTTAGTTACCAACAGTGACACATCTTAATTTGATTTACAAGCTGCCACCCTCAAGAGGGTAAATAAGATTTGATAAGACCTACAAACTTTCCAAGTCTCTGCATTATTTGTCCCTTCAGTCCAACCACCTAACACTCTCTAAAGAGCTCAAATTTCCACCCTGGGAATCCCCCGTCATGTTTAATTCAATTGACACATACAAAATCTCCTCTTCTAAGAAAACCTTAAAGGCTCAATTTCAAAAGAATCTTTTCATATGTTTTATATTTAAATCTATAAAACTAGAACCAACCAACTTCTGAAATCAATAATATACCAGTTCTAAGATAGGTTTGTTTCATTTTATTTTTATTTTTTATTACTTATACATCACTCCAGACATGGTATATGCAACCGTGCAAATGTTAAAGCTTAAGAAGTCCTACAAACTCATTCTTTTGACAAAGGGAATAAACCAATTATAGCTGCTTTATAAGATCACAGTTGAGGCAAGTGGAAACAGTATTTCATTTATTTGGCAGCCAGATCCTTTCACACCTGAAGGTAGCAAAACTTTCAAACAGATCGTCCACAGTAATAAGAAGATGAACCTATTGTTTGAAGCCAAGTACGACAAACACAGTATACACATTTAAAGAAAAAGAAGTGAAAGAAAGAAAAAGCATTCACATGTTTGATATAAATTGGCAATCACATGCCATACAATATAAGATACTCAGGCCAGTGAGCCTCATTTCTGGTTCCTGCTGTGCTGTTGCCCAGCTCTACGACCCTAGACAACTTAGTCACCCCTTAAGACCTTTGTTTTTTCTTTACTCTAAAAATGAAGGTTTGGGGCAATATATGCAAAATATGCACTATATGCTTAATGTATAGGTAAATGAAATTGACTTTTTCTCTATTACTACCTTATAAAGTAAGAAAAAAAGCTAGGTCGATTTTTGCCAAACTTGGAGGATATTTTGGGGTGATAGGACTTAACAGATAAGCTCCAAGGAATATTCGCTTCGGGCACCTATTGATGAAAGTAAGGCAGTCTCCACTGTCAAAGAATTGAGGAGAAATAGGCTTTGATTTCAAAATCAAAGGGCAGGCAATCCAAATTTCAGGACCTGATTGATAATGGAGCTGTTCCTTACTTGGGTAACTCTAATAGCTAGCTCAAGGGTGAAGAACAGCAGGAACATATTTATTTAAAGATTGTTAATTATTTTTCTGGAACAATCCCAGACTAGTTATAACATAAATTTAAGTTTGCATGTATATAGAGAGAGGAAGAGAACTCTTGGTTGAATATGTGTTTACAAGGTGTTTCAGGGTGGTCTCCTTAGAGCAACAGGTATCGCCACTCCCCTCCACCTTCTTTAGGGCCTACTTGATCCATTATCTCCCAAGGAGGTCTTTTCAACCACTCTTTCTTCCCTAGCTCCTTTTCTACATTATAAAACCATAACCTACATCTCTTCCCCAGTCTAAGGGGCTCTGCACCTTATATCTACCAATGTTCTTGAGAGTGGCCTGTATTTGCTGTTGCCAATCTCTCACTTCCCACTCACTACCCCACCCACTGCATTCAGACTTTTTGTCCTATACTCTGACCAAAGTACCAATGACCCTCCCAACAGCCAAATCAGCAGCTACCTCTCAGTCTTTGTCCTGGCCCTATATGCAGTATTTGATACTGTTTGACCTACTCTTTCTGGGATGTCAACCCAGCGCCACAGTTTTACCGTCATCTCCACATTGGTCTTTATTGCTGGCCCTGACCTCTCTCATAAGCTCCACTCCGATCTACATGCCGACTGATTACTTCTTCCTGGATGTACCATGAACTCTCTTAAGACTCAAAATTTAAATCCATGATTTTTCCCTAAACCTGCTTGCCCTCTTTATTCCATTAATAAGTTTGGTGACATTACCATTCATACCCTCAAATAGTACTTACCTGAGAGTCATCCACATTTACTTTCTTCATCACCTCTCAAACTCAGTTATATGCCTAAGTAGCTTTTACTTTCAGTGTCTAACTCTTATTCCCAATATCCTCAATAACTCACAGAAGAAATGAAGCACTAGCCTCTGAAGTGGACTCTGCATCCCCATCTCACCCACTCAAGTCCATTCCTCCCAACTGAGTGTCACAAGGTTTTTTCCCTGGCTCTGCTTTCCTCCCTGAGATCTTTTCCTGGGTGATTTTACAAACACTCAGAGTTGCAGTCATTATGTATCAGCAGGTAGCTCTCCTACTGATAATCACTACTTACTTCTGTTCCAAACATCAGTATAAAATTACCAGTTGTCTGGTGGATGTTCAGCTTATAACAAACCTGACAGCAAAAACTTAACAGATTTTCTTCTTCAAAAATCCCTTTCCCTACCTCCTGTATTCACTATTTGGGTTAACTGCAATACTCAACAATGTCTAAACTGAACTCAATTACCTTCATTGAAAACCTGCACCTTCCATCCTGGAGAATCCATTTAACTTTTCAGAAAAACTTGGAATCATCTTCAGCTCCTCCTTCTTGATCATCAGCCACATGCACAGGTCAAGAAACTCTGTTGATTACAAGCCTGAAATGCCTCTTCCAAATACATTCTTGCTTTTCTGTTTTGGTGTTCTATTCATTCTTTTCCATTATGAAAGTAATTTAAATACATTATTTAAAACTCATAATTAGAGAAAGAAAAAAATCCCACCCACATGATCCAACAATTTGTTAGCATTTTGCTGTATTTCTTTCTAAATATTTTAAAGTGCCTTTCAGAATATAGTCATAACTATAGTATATATGCAATATATTCTCTGCATATCCCAATATTTTCATTATTTTTCTTCATGATGCTACATAAACCTTATGTCATTGTAAATGACTGCAATAATTAACCTAGTGCATGTTCCACACATATATTATAGCTTCCCTAAAATGAATTATTTTGGGATGCCTTTATTCTGATATTCTTGCTGAAACTCCATACACAATTGGAGATATGACAGTTAATCAAAACAAAATGTCTAATTTACAGATATAACTTTTTAAAAATGTTTTTCAACTGCTTATCTAAATTATAACAAGCAATATTTCTCATCAGATTTTTCATAATACCATTGGACACCCACAGGGCATTGGTATTGCTACTAGATCCTCAAATCAAACTGAACAAGAATGTTAGTATCTTAACTAACACACATGAACACTTAATTCTGGTCTCTCCATAGAATCTCCTACACTAGGAGTCAGTTAAAATCTTCCTTCACTCCAGAACAACAGTAAAAGGTTTAAAGTATCAGCTCAAAGCTTAGCAAAATATAGGAGTAGAGGAAGCAGCAGTTTCCTGGTAGCTCACTGCAGCCCCTAGCAGGTCATTCCTGCCTGGCACCACAGGGATCCATCGGGAGGGTGACCAGAGGAGCAGGGTGTAAAACTCCACAGGGAGAAGAAAATCTCTAGCTGAACTTTGTAATAATTTGAACCAGGTGAGAAACCTCTGGGCCAGAACTATGGGAAGGGCAGAAATCCCGTGTGCAGACTCCACAGGTAGGGGAAGAACCAAGCCCTTTTCTTTCACAGCTGGGAGGCGGGTAGCCTGGGGCAAGTTTTCAAGCCCTTCTTGCCCACCAACTGGAAACAGACTCCGGGCTGTTGGGGCGGGGGGCACAGTGGGAGTGAGACCAGCCCTTTGGCTTGCATAGGAGCTGGGTGAGACCTGTGACTGCCGGCTTTCCCCCACTTCCCTGACAACCTGCATGACTCAGCAGAGGCAGCCATAATCCTCCTAGGTACACAACTCCAGCGACCTGGGAATCTCACCTTCATCCCCCACAGCACCCGTAGCAAGACCTGCCCAAGGAGAGTCTGAGCTCAGACACGCCTAGCCCCTCCCCCACCTAATGGCCTTCCCTATCCACCCTGGTAGCTGAAGACAAAGGGCATGCAATCTTGGGAGTTCTAGGGCCCCATCCACCGCTGGTCCCTCTCCACACTACTACAGCTGATGCCTTCTGGAAAGTGCCACCTCCTGGCAGGAGACCAACCAGCACAAAAATAGAGCATTAAACTACTAAAGCTGAGTGCCCTCACCAAGTCCATTGCACCTCCTCCCCACCCGCCAGCACCTGCACTGGAACAGGCGCCAGGATCCACGGCTGAGAGACCAATAAACAGTTCTCATCACAGGACTCTAAGCAGACAACCCCCAGTACAAGCCCAGAGCTGGGTAGACTTGCTGGGTGGCTACACCCAGAAGAGAGACAATAATCACTGCAGTTTGGCTCACAGGAAGCCACATCCATAGGAAAAGGGGGAGAGTATTACATCAAGGGAATACCTGTGGGACAAAAGCATCTGCCAACAACAGCCTTTAGCCTTAGACCTTCCCTCTGACAGAGCCTATCCAAATGAGAAGGAACCAGAAAACCTCCCCTGGTAATATGACAAAACAAGGCTCTTCAACACCCCACAAAGATCACACTAGTTTACCAGCAATGAATCTAAACCAAGAGGAAATCCCTGATTTACCTGAAAAAGAATTCAGGAGGTTAGTTATTAAGCTAATCAGGGAGGGACTAGAGAAAGGCAAAGCCCAATGCAAGGAAATCCAAAAAATGATACAAGAAGTGAAGAGAGAAATATTCCAGGAAATAGAGAGCCTAAAGAAAAAACCACCAAAAATTCAGAAAACTCTGGACATACTTTTAAAAATGCAAAATGCTCTGGAAAGTCTCAGTGATAGAACTGAACAAGCAGAAGAAATAAATTCAGAGCTCGAAGACAAGGTCTTCAAATTAACCCAGTCCAACAAAGACAAAGAAAAAATAACAAGAAAATATGAGCAAAGCCTCCAAGAAGTCTGGAGTTATGTTAAAAGACCAAACCTAAGAATAATCGGTGTTCCTGAGGAAGAAGAGAACACTAAAAGCTTGGAAAACATATTGGGGGGAATAATCGAGGAAAACTTCCCCAGCTTTGCTAGAGACCTAGACATCCAAATACCAGAAGCACAAAGAACAACTGGAAAACTCATTGCAAAAAGATCTTTGCTTAGACATATTGTCTTCAGGTTATCCAAAGTTAAGATGAAGGAAAGAATCTTAAGAGCTGTGAGACAGAAGCACCAGGTAACCTATAAGATAAATAGCAGATTAACTTATCAGATTAACATCAGATTTCTCAGCAGAAACCCCTACAAGCTAGAAGGGATTGGGGCCCTATCTTCAGCCTCCTCCAACAAAGCAATTATCAGCCAAGAATTTTGTATCCAGCAAAACTAAGTATCACATATGAAGGAAAGACACAGTCATTTTCAGACAAACGAACGCTGAGAGAATTCGCCATTACCAAGCCATCACTACAAGAACGGCTAAAAGGAGCTCTAAAATCTTGAAACAAATCCCGAAAACACATCAAAACAAAACCTCTTTAAAGCATGAATCACACACGACCTATAAAACAAAAATACAAGTTAAAAAGAGAAAGCAAAAAGACAAAAGTACACAGGCAGCAAGGAACACGATGAATGCAACGGTACCTCACACTAAATGCTCCACTTAAAAAATAGGGAATTGCAGAATGGATAAGAAATCACCAACCAACAATCTACTGCCTTCAGGAGACTCACCTAACATATAAGGACTCACATAACCTTAAAGTAAAGGTGGGGAAAAAGGCATTTCATACAAATGGACACCAAAAATGAGCAGGGGTATCCATTCTTATATCAGACAAAACAAATTTTAAAGCAACAGCAGTTGAAAGAGAAGAGACGAAGAGGGACATTATATAATGGTAAAAGACCTTGTCCAACAGGAAAATATCACAATCCCAAACAAATGTGCACCTAATATTGGAGCTCCCAAATTTATAAAACAATTACTAATAAACCTAAGCAATGAGATAGACAGCAACACAATAATAGTGGGGGACTTCAATACTCCACTGACTGCACTAGACAGGTCATCAAGACAGAAAGCCAACAAAAAAACATGAATTTAAACCATACCTTAGAACAAATAGACTTAACAGATGTATACAGAACATTTCATCCAACAACCACAGAATACACATTCTATTCAACACCACATGGAAATTTCTTCAAGATAGACCACATGATAGGCCATAAAACAAGCCTCAATAAATTTAAGAAAATTGATATTATATCAAGTACTCTCTCAGACCACAGTGGAATAAAACTGGAAATCAACTCCGAACCTTCAGAACCATGCAAATACATGGAAATTAAATAACCTACTCCTGAATGAGCACTGGGTCAAAAACGAAGTCAAGATGGAAATTAAAAAATTACTTGGGCTGGGCGCAGTGGCTCACACCTGTAATCCCAGCACTTTGGGAGGCCAAGGCGGGCAGATCACCTGAGGCCAGGAGTTCGAAACCAGCCTGGCCAACATGTTGAAACCCCGCCTGTCTCTACTAAAAATACAAAAATTAGCTGGATGTGGTGGCACATGCCTGTAATTCCAGCTACTTGGGATGCCCGGGAAATGGAGGTTGCCGTGAGCTGAGATCGTGCCACTGTACTCCAGCCTGGGTGACAGAGAGAGACTCTGTCCCAAAAAAAAAAAAAAAAAAAAAAAAATTTGAGCTGAATGACAATAATTATACAACTTATCAAAACCTCTGGGATACAGCAAAGGCGGTGCTAAGTTGAAAGTTCATAGCCCTAAGTGCCTACATGAAAAAGACTGAAAGAGCACAAACTGACACTCTAAGGTCACACCTCAAGGAAATAGAGAAATAAGAACAAACCAAACCCAAACCCAGCAGAAGCAAAGAAATTACCAAGATCAGAGCAGAACTAAATGAAACTGAAACAACAACAACAACAACAAAAATACAAAAGATAAATGAAACAAAAAGCTGGTTCTGCTGGGCGCGGTGGCTCACGCCTATAATCCCAGCACTTTGGGAGGCCGAGGTGGGTGGATCACTTGAAGTCGGGAGTTCAAGACCAGACTGACCAACATGGAGAAACCCTGTCTCTACTAAAAATACAAAATTAGCCAGGTGTGATGGCACATGCCTGTAATTCCAGCTACTCGGGGGGCTGAGGCAGGAGATTTGCTTGAACCCAGGAGGTAGAGGTTGCAGTGAGTCAAGATTGTGTCATTGCACTCCACCCTGGGCAACAAAAGCGAGACTTTGTCTCAGAACAACAACAACAAAAAAAGCTGGTTCTTTGAAAAGATAAATAAAATTGATAGATCATTAGCAAGATTAGCTAAGAAAAGAAGAGAGAAAATCCAAATAACCTTACTAAGAAGTGAAACAGAGATGGAATTACAACTGACACCACTGAAATACAAAAGATAATTCAAGGCTACTATGAACAACTTTATGCACATAAACTAGAAAACCTAGAAGAGATGGATAAAATCCTGGAAAAATACAATGCTCCTACCTTAAATCAGGAAGAATTAGATACCCTGAACAAAGCAATAACAAGCAACGAGATTGAAATGGCAATTTAAAAATTACCAACAAAAAAAAAAGTCAAGGACCAGATGGATTCACAGCAGAATTCTACTAGACATTCAAAGAAGAATTGGTACCAATCCTTTTGACACTATTCCATGAGATAGAGAAAGAAAGAACCCTCCATAATTCATTTTATGAAGCCAGCATCACCCTAATACCAAAACCAGGAAAGGACATAACCAAAAAAAAAATAATAATACTTTCAAAGTTCATATGGAACCAAAAAAGAGCCCTCATTGCCAAGACAATCCTAAGCCAAAAGAACAAAGCTGGAGGCATCACGCTACCTGACTTCAAACTATACTACAAGGCTACAGTAAGCCAAAAGAACAAAGCTGGAGGCATCACGCTACCTGACTTCAAACTATACTACAAGGCTACAGTAAGCCAAAAGAACAAAGCTGGAGGCATCACGCTACCTGACTTCAAACTATACTACAAGGCTACAGTAAGCCAAAAGAACAAAGCTGGAGGCATCACGCTACCTGACTTCAAACTATACTACAAGGCTACAGTAACCAAAACAGCATGGTACTGGTACCAAACAGAGATATAGACTAACGGAACAGAACACAGCCCTCAGAAATAATACCACACATCTACAACCATCTGATCTTTGACAAACCTGACAAAAACAAGAAATGGGGAAAGGATTCCCTATTTAATAAATGGTGCTGGGAAAACTGGCTAGCCATATGTAGAAAGCTGAAACTGGATCCCTTCCTTACACCTTATACAAAAATTAATTCAAGATGGATTAAAGACTTAAACGTTAGACCTAAAACCATAAAAACCCTAGAAGAAAACCTAGGCAATACCATTCAGGACATAGGCATGGGCAAGGACTTCACGACTAAAACACCAAAAGCAATGGCAACAAAAGCCAACATTGACAAATGGGATCTAATTAAACTAAAGAGCTTCTGCACAGAAAAAGTGGGAAAAGGATATGAACAGACACTTCTCAAAAGAAGACATTTATGCAGCCAACTGACACATGAAAAAATGCTCATCATCACTGGCCATCAGAGAAATGCAAATCAAAACCACAATGAGATATCATCTCATACCAGTTAGAATGGTGATCATTAAAAAGTCAGGAAACAACAGGTGCTGGAGAGGATGTGGAGAAATAGGAACATTTTTACACTGTTGGTGGGACTGTAAAGTAGTCCAACCATTGTGGAAGACAGTGTGGTGATTCCTCAAGGATCTAGAACTAGAAATACCATTTGACCCAGCCATCCCATTACTGGGTATATACCCGAAGGATTATAAATCATTCTGCTGTAAAGACACATGCACACATATGTTTACTGCAGCACTATTCACAATAGCAAAGTCATGGAACCAACCCAAAAGTCCATCAATGATAGACTGGATTAAGAAAATGTGGCCCATATACACTACAGAATACTATGCAGCCATAAAAAAGGATGAGTTCATGTCCTTTGTAGGGACATGGATGAAGCTGGAAATCATCATTCTGAGCAAACTATCACAAGGACAGAAAACCAAACACCGCATGTTCTCACTCATAGGTGGGAATTGAACAATGGGAACACTTGGACGCAGGGTGGGGAACATCACACACCGGGGCCTGTTGTGGGGTAGGAGGAGGAGGTAGGGATAGCATTAGGAGAAATACCTAATGTAAATGACGAGTTAATGGGTGCAGCACACCAACATGGCACATGTATACATATGTAACAAACCTGCATGTTGTGCACATGTACCCTAGAACTTAAAGTATAGAGAAAAAAACCTACCAACTGAAATCCTTGATGAACATTGATGCTAAAATCCTTAACAAAATACTAGCTAACCAAATCCAATAACATAACAGAAAGATAATCCACCATGATCAAGTGGGTTTCATATCAAGGATGCAGGGATGGTTTGACATATGCGATTCAGTAAATGTGATACACCACATAAACAGAATTAAAAACAAAAATCACATGATCATCTCAATAGATGCAGAAAAAGCATTCAACAAAATCCAGTATCCCTTTATGTTTAAAACTCTCAGCAAAATCGGCATACGAGGGACATACCTTAATGTAATAAAATGTGTGTGTGTGTGTGTGTGTGTGTGTGTGTGTGTGTGTGTATATATATATATATATATATATATATATATATATGAATGATGGAATACTACTCAGCCATAAAAAGCAATGAATTAACAGCATTTGCAGTGACCTGGATGAGACTGGAGACTATTATTCTAAGTGAAGTAACTCAGGAATGGAAAACCGTACATCATATGTTCTCACTGACATGTGAGAGCTAATCTATGAGGACACAAAGGCATAAGAATGATAAAATGGACTTTGGGGACATGGGGGGAAGAGTAGGAGGGGGACAGGGATAAAAGACTACAAATATGGTGCAGTATATACTGCTTGGGTGATGGGTGCACCAAAATCTCACAAATCACCACTACAGAACTTACTCATGTAACCAAATACCCCAATAACTTATGGAAAAATAAAGAAAGTATTGCTTCTAAGTTCAAAAGCTAGCTCCTTCATTTACTTAGCTTGTAACTTTAAGCAAATTTATTTAGCTTCACTCGGCCTCAGTTTCCCCATTGATGGAATGATAATAATAAGAGTAATTACTATACAATATTATCAGGAGGAACAAGACACAATATAAGTTATATGAAGTTCTTGCCTGGGCATGGTAGTTCACCCTTGTAATCCCAGCAACTTTGGGAGGCTGAGGCAGGTGGATCACAAGGTCAGGAGTTCGAGAACAGTCTGGCCAATATTGTGAAACCCCGTCTCTACTAAAAATACAAAAATTAGCTGGGTGTGGTGGCACACATCTGTAATCCCAGCTACTTGGGAGGTTGAGGCAGGAAAACTGCTTGAACCTGGGAGGTGGAGGTTGCAGTGAGCAGAGATCGCACCACTGCATTCCAGCCTGGGCTACAGAGCGAGACTCCATCTAAAAAAAAAAACAGGAAGAAGTTCTTAGTCAAGTGTCTAGGGCAGTGGTCCCAACCATTTTGGCACCAGGGACTGGTTTGATGAAAGACAATTTTTACAAGGACAGGAAGCAAGGAGGTGGTTTGGGGATGAAACTGTTCTACCTCAGATCATCAGGCATGAGTTAGATTTTCCTAAGGGGCATGCAACCTAGATCTCTTGCATGCACAGTTCACAATAGGGTTCAAACTCCTATGAGAATCTAATGCCAAGGTTGATCCGACAGAAGGTAAAGATCAGGTGGTAATGCTCCATCAGCCACCGCTCACCTCCTGCTGTGTGGCCCAGCTGCCAACAGGCCTCGGACTGCTACCTGTCCATGGCCCAGGGGTAGCAGACTCCAGGTCTAGGGTATGGCAAACACTGAAAAGTACTGGCCATTATAATCATTTATCAGGCTTGGAGAGTAAAGTCTAGACTCTGTCGTCATCTTTTCATTGCTGTGGGGTTAATAAGCCTGGGCCTACATCTCATTTTTGGTTTTATTTACTCACACTCCTGTGTTTTTCTGCCAGTCTTGGGTATTACTGCATCCTTTATCATTGGGAGATAGTAAATAGCCTGAGTAAACAGGATTACAACTCAGTCCACAGCTCACTACATTTCATGCCACCAACAGAAAGAGCTGTGGGCACTGTAACTACCTGATTCATATCCCACCAAACTGACATTGAGGTTGGCTCCTGTCTACGTAACAGGCAAAAAGCAAAATGCGTATTAAAATAATTTAGTTTAAGAGTCTATAACTTACTTTGACTGGATTTTACCAAAATGAAAAAAAATTTTAATTGCTAATTGAATTTATCCATGCTTCTAGTCTTATGGTTTTGGTCACCACTTATTTTCTCCTAGTTTTGAAGGAAGTGGTAGGAAACCATTTTCAAATTTTTCTAATGAATGAGTTTCTTCATAAGAATGATTCTGATTTTCCATATGTATGTATTTGATTTTTCTTTTTTTCAGTATTTACTTAGGTTGACATCTGAAAACCTATATAAGAAGTGCAAGTGAATGAAAGCAAATTATAAATAGAAGTGATTAGCTCACCCCCACTAACCCCCCAAAAAGGAAAAAGACTGGCTATATCTTTAGGAAAACCTAACTTGTCTTCTTTTATAAAACATAGCAAAACTACCTATAACTAAAGCACTATATAGATATAGTTTGGTGATTCATAACTTACTATTAAAATATTACTAGCTGGGTGTGGTCACATGCAACTGAGGAAGCTGAGGAGGGAGGATCGCTTGAGCCCAGGGATTGGAGCTTCCAGTGAGCTATGATCTTGCCACTATACACTAACCTCAGCGACACAGTGAAACCTTGTCTTAAAAAATATATATTAAATATAAAAATAAAAAACAAAATATTACAAATATGGCAATCAACATATTACTGCTGGATCAGTTTGAGAAAATGACTACAGAGATTTAGGTTTTCATAGAGAAGACAAATTTTCATTTTCTTTCTTTTTCCAATTTTCTTTTAAAATATTTCTAAAGTTAATTTCTTATAGCAGCTGTGTATATCCCCAAGTGTTAAACAATCTAATTCAAAAGTCAAGTAAGACTGAAGTATTATCTCCATAAAATATAATTAAGAATTTAAAGGTAATATTTTAAGTTTCACCTTGAAGACTATATGTGTTTTTCTCCCAAGGCAATGCCTCTTTAAAAAATCCTAAAGTAATCCCCATTCATACAGTTAAGACATGACTTTATAGTTTTTACTATTAAGTGGAAAAAATAAGTTTTGAACCATTAAAGGTTGAATGTACCCTATAAAAAATAAAACAGGAAAAGCAACGACAACTTCAACTTAAGCTGTATCAGTAGCCGATTTAAGTTATTCACTCCAAACGGTGACATTCTTCCTTCCCCCAAGGGCTTTCCATTTCCTTCTTTTCATCTATTCTTTTGTTTTTTTAAAACTATAACTGAGTTTCCTACAGGAAAGGGAAGCTGGAGTAGCAAAATTTAAATGCATGTACACCCCGTTTCTACTCATTTTTCTCTTGCAGGTGGCTAGAAGTAAGATGTATACTTACTTTTTATTTTTCCTAAAAATACACCCCTGTCACAGGAGAGAAAGACATTTTCTGTGAAATTATAACTAGCCTTACTAAGTGAATATACCCTTTCAAAAGTCACTGAAAGATAAGGAAATGTATCAAGGCATGAGATAAAACAAAGTCAACATTTTAGCCAATGTTTCGTTAAAGTGACAGAGGAAGAGAGCAATTCCAGCAAAACAAAGCAGAAAACCCAAGTGGCTGATAGTTCCACTTATAAAAACTTTAGAAACAAACCAAGATGATATTAGAAAAAGAAACCTAACAGTTATTTTTTAATAGCGCAATTGTTGCTAATTATGTAAAGTCATTGTATTTTTCTTGTCACTTATATTTTGATTGTATGCTATGCGATCTAGTGAGCACATTAAAAACACTAAGTCTCACAAAAAACTGTCTGAAATAGATACTATTATACCTGTTCTATAGATTGGAAACCGAGCCTTAGAAACTCTCAAAACATTGCCAAAGATCACTTAGGATTTGAACCCAGGGCTTAGCCACCATGTAAGTTGATAACATTTCTCCCTACCTTTTCATGTTCTAAGTAGCTACTAATTGCATGGTACCAGGTATTTGGTCTTTATTCATTAGATATTATTAATGTGACCCATTCTTTCATTATTTTATATCAAAATAAATGCTCTTCAACTTTCCTCGGGAACTGCTACAACAAGACTTTGTTTTGTTTCTTCTGTTTTGTGTTCATTCAAGTAAACATTTCATTTAGGCTCCTTTGGAGGGATAATTACTTGGTTAGATCACTCTAAAGTTCTCCAATAGCTTTTTCCTCTCATTTTCTTAAATATTTTCATTAAGTACTCAAAAACTATTTTTAAAAAGGTCCAAATTGTTAACAACAACAACAATAATTTCCTAGGCTTATCTATCCTTTCCATCACCTCTACCTAATATCTTTATATCCTTACCTCAAAACATTTATTAAAGGCACTCCTTTTTCTCAAATTACATGACTACCACTCCTTATGCAGGGAATACTATAATATTCTCCTAACCTAGTCTTCCTGACACTACTTTCCTCCTCTTCTAGTTCGTACCAAATACCTCTGCCAGAGTGATCTTCCTGAAACGTAATTTAATTTGATTTCAGACTGCAGTTGAATTGATATATTGTTACAAAATATCACATATGCAAGAGTATATAAAATACATACTTAGCATTTAAGGAATAAAATGAAACCAACAACTAAAGGTCTACTAACTTCACTGAGAAAGAGAACATTCCCAGTATTTTAGAAGCCCTTGTTTGGCCTTCCCAGATCTCAGTCTGTCCTTCCCCCAAGAGGTGAACACATTCCTAAAGTTTGTACTAATTATTGTCTTGCTTCTCAATTTAGTGTGGTCACATAGCATGTGATTCAAATTATATATACATATATATACACACACACACACATATATGTATTTTAGTGTTGTCTGTTTATTTGTACTTTATTCAAATGGGCTCATACTGTACATATTCCTTGGTGATCACTCCTTTTTTACAATACTATGTTTTTCAGATGCATCCAGGAATTACTGCGTCTAGCTCTGTTGCATAGCATTTCTTTGTATCAACATTACAAAATACATTTATCCATGTTACTGATGATATAATGTGAGTTATGCTGTGTATTAGTCCATTCTCACACTGCCAATAAAGACATACCTGAGACTGGGTAACTTATAAAGGAAAGAAGTTTAATTGACTCTCAGTTCTGCATGGGTGGGGAGGCCTCAGTAAACTTACAATCACGGTGGAAGGCTAGAGAGAAACAAGGCACCTTCTTCACACAGCAGCAGGAAGGAGAACTGAGTGAAGGGGAAGAGCTCCTTATAAAACCATCAGGTCTCGTGAGAACTCACTCACTATCACAAGAACAGCATGGGGGAAAGTTCTCCTATGATTTAATTACCTCCACCTGGTCTCTCCCTCGACAAGTGTGGATTATGGGAATTATAATTCAAGATAAAATTTGGGCGGGAACACAAAGCCTAACCGTATCATGCTATAGCATATAATCTGAATGTGTATAACCAATGTAGTGATACAAGGAGGTGAGGCCTTTGAGAGCGTGGTAGGTCACCTGGGAAGAGCCCTCATAAATGGGATAGTGCCCTTATAAAGAAGATCCAAGAGGGACTCCCACCCTTTGCCAAGTGAGGACACAGTGAGAAAGTGCTGTCTGTGAACAGGCCCTTATCAGATGTTGAATCTGCTGGCACCTTGATCTTTGACTTCCCAGCCTCCAGAACTGTGAGAAATAAATTTCCTGTTGCTCACAAGCTACCCAATTTATGATATATTATTATAGCAGCCTGAATAGGCTAAAACAAGTTGTTCTGTTATTTTGTTATTATAAGCAAACTGCCATGAACATTCTTGTACATTCCTCTTTGGTGTACATATGCTGGAGTTCCTATATAGTACATGCCAGGATACACTGTACACAAACTAGTTTCAAAGATTATTTCCAAGGTTTATACCAATTTATACTCCCACGTGATTTCTGTTTTCCTCCACATCAGAGATCAGCAAATCTCAGCCATGAACCCAATCAAGTTTGCTGCCTGTTTATGTAAATAAAGGTTTATTGGAAGAAAATTATGTTCATTTGGTGAGTTATTGTGTGCAGCTGCTTTTGTAATACAACAGCACAGTCAAGTAGTTATGAGAAAATTTATGCAAATCCTAAAATAATTACTATCTGGCTCTTTACGGAAAGTTAGCCAGTCTCTGTCCTATATCCATGTAAACACTTGATATTTTCTGACTTTGAAAATCTTTGCCAATTTGGTGCATAATAAAATACCTCATTGTGATTTAACATGTAAATATATTAAATTATATTTTACTTCATTACTAATGATGTTTATCATCTTTTCATATGCTTATGGACTTTTCCGATTTCCTCTTCTGTGAAATGTTTATTCATGCCTTTTGCCAGTTTCTCTAATCGCTTTTGTTAGGTTTTCTCCCCTTTTTAAACCATAGGAGGACTTTGTATATACTAGTTAGCAAACATTTTTCAGTGACATGTGTTGGAAATATTCTTTCCCAGTCCCTGGCTTATCTTTTACTCTCTCTCTCTCTCTCTCTGTGTGTGTGTGTGTGTGTGTGTGTGTGTGTGTGTGTGTGTGTCCTGAAACAGTGTTTTTCTGAACAGAAATAATTAATTAATTAATTAATTAGAGACAGCCTTGTTCTGTTGCCCAGGCTGGAGTGGAGTGGTGCTATCTCAGGTCACTGCAACCTCTGTCTCCTGGGCTCAGGTGATCCTTCCACCTCGGCCTCCGAGGTAGCTGAGACGACAGGTGCCTGCCACCACACCTGGCTAATTGTATTTTTGAGAGAGACAAGGTTTCGCTATGTTGCCCAGGCTGGTCCCAAACTCCTGAGCTCAAGTGATCCACTCATCTCAGCCTCCCAATGTGCTGGGATTACAGACATGAGCCACCGCACCCAGCCCAGAAATACTTAATTTAAATGCATTTAAATATGTTAAGAGATGCTTCTATATCCCAACAACAGGATATACTGAGGTATATTGTCTTTTTAAAGTACATTTCTTAAATATTGCATTTCACATTTAGGTCTTTAATCCAACTGGGATTGATTTTTGAGTGTGAGATGAGATAGGGCTTCAATTTCACTTTTCATCCTCAGGGGTCATCATTTTTTCCAGCGTCATTAATTACATTGTTTTTTTCTTTTCCCACTGATTTGCAATGTCTCTTCTTCCAAAAGCCAAATACCAAATAGGAAAGAATCTCTGTCTAGGTTCTTTATTTGGTCCTAATGTTCTATTTTTTTTGTACTGTGACAACACACTGTCCACTGTCACAATATCTGATTGGTCAAGTGGCACATGGATCATCTCTGTTCATCGATACAAACGGTAGAATTAGTTTGTCCAATTCCATGAAAAACCAGTTGAAATTAATTTGAATTTTTAGACCAAAGTTGAGAGAATTCACTTCCTTATAATGCCTGAGAACATGGTATATAGGTTGTGCATCTCTTATCCAGAATGTTTGGAACCAGAAGCATTTGGAATGTTTTGAATTTTGAGGTATTTGAATATATATAATGAGACATCTTGGGATGAAAACCAAGTCTAAACACGAAATTTATGTACATTTTATATACACCTTATACACATAGATTGAAGTAATTTTATACAATATTTTGAATCATTTTGTGCATGAAACAAAGTTTTGACTACATTTTGACGGCGACCTGTCACATGACATCAGGTGTAAAATTTCTCCACCTGTGGCATTATGTCAGTGGTCAAAGTGTTTAGGATTCTGAAGCACTTCAGATTTTGGATTTTCAATTAGAGATGCTCAACCTGTATATGTCTCTACTTATTTAGGTATTACTTAATATCTTACAATAAAATGTTATAATTTTCTCAATAAAGGACATTAGTGTATTTTAATAGTTCTTTTCTTGTTCATGGTAGTTATTATTGTTATTGTTGATTTAAGAGCTATTAAAAAAAGTTTTTTGGTTTGTTTTATTTGAATTACATTTCCTGATTGTTACAGGCATGTGGATTTACAAATGAATTTTGTATATAGATTTTGTTATCAAATACATTTGCAAAACTCTTTTAAACTGGTTAGAAATTATGATAATGAGCATATCTGTCTTGTTCTGGATTATAAAGAGAATGTTTCCTATATTTCACTCCAAGTATGACATTTATAATATACTTCTGGATATGACCTTTTTCAGAT
This sequence comes from Homo sapiens, assembly GCF_000001405.40. Lineage (NCBI taxonomy): Eukaryota > Metazoa > Chordata > Mammalia > Primates > Hominidae > Homo > Homo sapiens. The sequence goes on along the minus strand of NW_003315941.1, from coordinate 7,703 downwards.
TTGGGAAATTCCCTTTTATTCCTAGCTTGCTAAGATCTTTCTATCATTAATAAATATTGAATTTACCAAACTTTTTTCTGTATTTATTAATATAATTAAGCACTTCTCCTTTAATCTATTAATGCAGTAAATTAAATTAATTAATTTGCTACCAAATTAACCTTGGTTTTCTAGGATAAACAGTCTGGCTCATTAATTCTGAGCATTCTTATATAATTAAAATATTTAAGGCTATGAAATTCATTCCAAAATTTACTTTACTTTCAACCCACAGGTTTTGTAATATATTTTTGTTATTATTTAGTTTTAAATACTTAACATTTCAATTATGATTTCTTTCTTTAAACCTATCAGTTATTTGAAAATGTATTTTTAAGTTTTCAGATATTTGTTTTTTTCTTCCTAGAATTATGCCTAGATTGATTTTTTACTTCCTTGGGTGGTATTTAAGAAATGTGAGCTATATGGTTATCAATGGCTTAATATTTGTTGAGTATATCTTTTATGCCCTAGAACGTAGTCAACTTTGCCTAGAATTATGCCTAGATTGATTTTTTACTTCCTTGGGTGGTATTTAAGAAATGTGAGCTATATGGTTATCAATGGCTTAATATTTGTTGAGTATATCTTTATGTCCTAGAACGCAGTCAACTTTCATAAAGTTTTTCCTGTGTTTGAAAAGAATATTTACACCCCAGTTGTGGAGTATGATGTTCTCTGAATATTACACAGATCAAATTTGTTAATTGTACTGTTCAAATCTTCTGTGGAATTGTTGATTTTTTTCTGCTTGATTTATCAGTTACTGAGAGATGTAGTATAAAATCTCTGGCTATACCCAGAGACTATATTATTAGGTGCATATGAGAATAGCACTATTATATCTTAGCAGTGGTTGAATTCTTTATCTCTAGGAATGCCTCTTAAAGTTTACTTTTTCTGATAATAAAATGACTACATTAACTTTCTTTTGTTTATCAATGAGTGGTAAACAGAGTTTGTCTGTCTTTTGGCTTTAAATCTTTATCCAGAAGTTTTAAGTGTATATCCTGTAAACATAATGCAGCTTGATTTTTGTATTTTATTTGTTTTTAAATCCAATTTGACAACTGTTTTTAACGAGAAAGTTTCGTCTATTTACATTAATAGTGATTACCATTATATTTTGATTATTTCTACACTCATATATGCTTTCCACCTTTTTCTTTTTTTTAAATCAAGAAAATTGAGTTACTGAATCTTCAAAAAAAAAGTAAATGAACTTCTTTTACATAGGTAAGACGCATTGCAGAAAATAATAAAACACAGATTATAAACAAGAATCTTTAAAACACTTCCATATGCATCACTCTGGTGTATACCTATTCATATTTTTATTATTTTTATAGGTTCAATTATATTGGGTATAATGAGATATGTATACATACATAATGTTGAAGTTTTCTGAGGAGGAAAACTATGAAATAATATTTAAGATTTCCTTAGTAGTATAAAACAGATTAGAGGAAAGAGATTAGTGTCACAAAATGTAGAAAAAAAATAAGGCTGCTATAGTTTTCTGAACATAAGATAAAAGCATGATTACAGGTGCGTTTGAGCACTCGGCACCTAGTTGCCCTTGATAAATATGTCACTAAAACTTAAAAGCCAGAAATGCTGCACTAAGTTTGAAAGCAAATCTTCATATCCCTACCATTATTAAGGTAAGACATTGCTTTAAGTTATAATTCAAGCATAGTTTAAAGTCACTGAATCTTAGCTCTTTAATGATATCATAAATCTCAGCTGTGTGAAATAGAAATCAGCCCACTTTTGGAAGATCTTGACAAGTAGTTGGAAGGTGAATTAGTTAATCAAAAGTCTGTTCATTTACATGTCGTCAAATTAAATTGGGGCGATAGTTTCACTGAATTAACCAGTTGTTTAAGTGTTGCATAAATATAGCCTTAGTTTTAAAATTAAGAACTGGCAGAATTTCTTCTTAGAAGGTTGCCAAGTTTGGGGCTATTAAAGGCTATCCCATCCCAAGAACTTTCCACTTGTAGCTGTCAAGGATCTTTTTTCTTAATTAAGCCAAAATAGCTTGATGTCTGAGAGACTTCCTGATTATAAATGAAGTGTCTTTGGAAACCTTTCTATGTCTTCCAGGCCTAGAGACAGATCCACGTGCTCTCAAGATTCATGTACACTCGAGTGGGAAGAGCAGGAGGAGGGAGTGTTGCAAGGAAAGGGAGCACTGGCCAGTGTGTCAGGTGTTGCTGAGTGGGCCTTGCCACAGGAGCAAATATGTCCATTGGGCATTTGTGGCTGTCATAAACAGTTTCCATAAGCTGTCGGGCAGCTTTGTTTCCACACTATTGGGACTTTTTAGAAAGGCACCCAATGTCCTGGCAGAGTTCACCATCTTAGTTCTTAACACCCACACTGATTTGTCCTTTGTTCAACAGCCTAGTTCTTCAGGCTCAGGGATCTACATGTTCTTCTGAAAATGGCCATATATCACTTTCTAGACCTGATACTCAGTATCATGGTCATTTTCCCTCTTTAAGTTTTTCCCTTCTCCCTTTATTCATTTCAACACACACACATACACACACACACACACACACACACACCTCTTGAGCATGTACAATGTTCTAGGCCCTGGACACTTAGCTAGGTTCAGGGAGTATGGTGATAAATAACTTAGAAATAATTTCTGCATTCTCAGTGCTCATAATAGTAGGGACACATAGCAAAGACATTATCCACGTTCACTCTTGATAATCTTTTTATCAACTGTTGTCCCAAATAACCCTTTTCTTCCCCCACATAATCTCAACCCAAGAGTCTCTTTTTTTTTTTTTTTTTTTTTTTTTTTGAGACGGAGTCTTGCTCTGTCGCCCAGGCTGGAGTGCAGTGGCACGATCTCGGCTCACTGAAAGCTCTGCCTCCTGGGCTCACGCCATTCTCCTGCCCCAGCCTCCCAAGTTGCTGGGATTACAGGCGCCTGCCACCAAGCCTGGCTAATTTTTTTTGTATTTTTAGTAGAGATGGGGTTTCACCATGTTAGCCAGGATGGTCTCGATCTCCTGACCTCGTGATCCGCCCACCTCGGCCTCCTAAAGTGCTGGGATTACAGGCGTAAGCCACCCCGCCGGGCCTGAGTCTCTATTTTTTTCAATGACTGGAATAAATACTCCTTTTGCAAAATGTGGCCAAGAAGGACCCAGACAGATGTCTTAGACAAAGACTGTAATCTGTTAAGAGTCATACCACATCAGATTTGGGCAAAAAGGTAAAGGATTCTGGATATAAGAAATAATTTCACTTTCTCCACACTAAATACAGCTGCTTATTTTTAGTTGCCGGTTGTTGTTTTTCTTTTGGGAAACTTTCTCTCTTCAATGAAAATTCCATGGTGACTCATTGAGACCCCCCAAGGAGAGGACTGTGCTCCATGGGACACCTGTGGATAGGGCCACCATGGCAGTTCCCTGGTGGAGTGGGTCTGCTGGGCACACAGCCATCCCCGCAGGCCAGCTTTGACCCAGGTTACAGTAATGCAAACGATTTGCTTTAATCCAACCAAAATAAAAGTAGGCAATCCTAAAGCTCTTTACGAAAAATCTTGTTCTACCTTTGACCCAGGCTATTTTTCTTCAATATTTAAAGCTGAAAGACATCGCGTGCTTATGCTTTTATTTCAAACCAGAAAATCACCTTTATTGTATTTGATCACTCTCTTACTTTAATTTGCAGACTTGCTTATTTACATAGCATATGCTGGACTTTAGCCTAATGTTTAATGGAGATAATAATACAAGAACTTTTTAAAACTTGTTAGCTAGGAAATACATAAAATACTGACCTTGTGGGTAAGTGTCTTTTGCATACATTTTTAAGCATTAGTTGCTTACGAGTTGCAAGAGTGAAGTTTTTAACATGACTCCTGGGAGAATTATACCAGTCTTTATGGAACACATTGCTCACAGCTGTAGTGAAATAGCGATCACTAAAATTCACAGCACTTTTTATTCCACATCAGTGACATCACTGGTGTAATTTAACTATAATTCACATGTGGGAATCAGTTGTCTACAAACTGAAATTCTCCACAAACTGATTCTAAGATGGGGAAGAAACTGTAACATAAAGCTACTGTATGATTTTATTTTGCATTCATCATTAATGTCAGTTTCCAAAACATTTTGGATAATATTATGAGAGGGTATACTTCTCTTCCTATGAAAGCAGATGATATTTTGAAGATACTTTTTAAGGTACTAATAGAAAGACACTGTTCCATGAGACCAAAGGGCTGCTTGGTCTTAGCTTCTCCATTTAGCTTTCCAGCTACACGCTCTACTATTTTTGTTCCATAAAGAAAGACTTTCTGTTTAGAAATGTGACAGTAAGACAGCTTGTGTCTAAAACCTAAGTCAGTGTCCCCTGGTAATCTCATGAGGAATCTGAAATTACAAGGAGACACAACTGGATTGTTTTAGAATATTTAGGTCCTCACTGGAGAAGAGTAAGATAGAAACAAGTAGAGAATTGCCCATTATTAACTCTCTGTTGTTTTATCGCTCATATTGACTTGCTTTAATGATAACTTGAATGTCACCCTGTATCCTTCTGTTGGGCAAAATTAATTTCTGATTACTTTACAGGATGAAATAAATCCCAAATCTTTTTTTAATTAATAAGAAATAGACTGCTCCTTGACTTCCTTCATTCAAACAAGAGAAAATAAACCTTCCCATGGGGAAATATGGTCAAGGAAATAGAATTCAGGACTAGGCTAGAATGGCCACCTGTACGGAGTACATTCTGCTCAAGGGGAATATTTGCAACCAGAAAAACAAAGCTTCTAATATTCATTCATTTAGACCCTCAGCATAGATATGTGAAGCTCTGGTTATGTGTCAGCGCTGGGGATTAGACATTCTATAAGGTTTTGTTGATTACTACAGCATGGCTGGCATTGCTCTGGGCATGGAGTTTCAGTGGTAAACAGGACCAAGTTCCTACCCTGCGGGGCTTATATTCTGGTGGAGGGCATAAACAATACAAAATACAGATATAATTTCAGATAGTGGTAATACAAAGAAGAAAAATAAGTCCCAGAAGGACTAGAGATTGCCTGGAGGCAGGGAGAGGAAGAAAGCTATTTTGAAGATGTGGTTAGGAAAGTTTCGTTGGAAAGCGAAATTTGAAAAGAGGCCTTAAGGAGGCGACAATGAGGCATGAGGCTCTGGCGTTCCAGGTGGAATGAACAGCAAGGGCAACTGGCCTCAGATGATAATAGCCTTGGTATGTGCCAGAAATAAAAGGAAGGGGAGCAAGTGTGGTATTTCCAGGGGGAGATAAGGTTGAGAAAGCAAATGGATCCTGTGGGGCCTGGTAGACCTCAGGCAAACCTCTGGATTTTATTCCAAGTGTGAAAGAAACCATGGGAAGATTCAGAGTGGGAGAGCAGCGGAATCTGGTCCATGCTTAACCAGGAGACATGGGTTGCTTTGTGAAGAAATGATTACAGGATTTGAGACTAGTATCAGAGATGGGGTAAGGGGCTTTCCCATTAATTCTGGTGAAAGACGATGATGGCTGAAACAGGGTGGTGGGAGTGGAGGTGTTGACACTGGTCAGAATCAGTATGTATTTTGAAAGTAGAGCTGACAGAGCTTGCTGAGGTGGGAGGTGGGTTGGAAACTGTGAGAGAAAGAGAGGAGTGAGGAAGATCCGTAAGAATTTGGGTGAGTGGATAAAAAGTGATACTACTAGCTGAGATGGGTATTCAGATCATTAAGACAGGCCCTGGACTCAAGATGCAAGGAATTCACATCACTGGAAATAAACCAACCAACACACACACACACATAAACACACACACACACACCCCTAACAAGTGTTACAATAAAAATATACATAGGAATTTCCTTATCTCTAGATTTTTCATAACTTTCAGTTAAATGATTCTCCTTTTGTCAGTTGCATAAATAGACAAGTGAATGATGTGGCCTGCTGCTATGTGGATATCTGATATTTCTGTGCTGGCTGACTGTACAAATTAGTTTGTACAGCAGCAGATTCTTCATGGTTATTTACCATATAAGTATCTATTCCTTCACATCACAGAAGGTATTCTTGTCCAGTAAATATCCCTCCGCCTTTCTCCAAATTTCCAAACTTGTCCAGGCTATGATGATTACTCAAGATAGAATCAGAGTGTCTTTTTCTGTATTCCTTAAGATTCATCTATATTCTTTGATGGAATAAGATGGAAAAAGAGAAGAGTTTATGCACGTTTAGCATTTCATCACCCATGGAAAGAAAGCATAAGAAGAGCTACATGGTAATAGAACTTGTTCCTCACAATTCCAGAGTAGCAACTTGCAGATTCTCAAATTTTGGAGGGTGTGTTAAACTGCAGATCCCCAGAACCCATCTGTAGAATATCTAATTCAGTAAGTTGGGAAAGAGCCAAATAGTCTTTCTGGTTTTTTATTATTATTATTATTATTATTATTATTATTATTATTATTATTTTAGAGACAGGGTCACTGTCACCCAGGCTGGAGTGCAGTGCCATGATCATGGCTCATCATAACCTCGAATTCCTAGCCTCAAGTGATCCTCCCACCTCGGCAATGCAAAGTGCTGGGATTACGGGCATGAGCCACCATACCTGGCTTGAATAGTTTTTGTGTTTAATAATCCTCCTCCATGTCTGATGCTAGATTTACACTGATCATCCTCGGAGAACCACTATCATCTATAAATTGTTCAATTTTATCTTAGTGTGTTGTGCCTTCTAAACTGCAGACAGAGGAATCATATTCAGGATAAAGTTTCATAATTAAGGAGGATAAAAGATGAAAGATATTTTAAAGATTCTCTGACCTAAACTTTTTTCCTTTAAATATCAGAGTTATAAGAAGCTGACAGCTCTTAATCTCAGATCTAGTCACATATAAAATGCAACTTAAAGATGTAACTATAGTTACCAAATATGGATTGCCTTAGGATATTGAAGCTATTTTTAATGGAGGCAAGAATACTACATTTGAGTGATTTTATAAAAGATGATTTTTAAAAACTTGCCTAGGGCAAAACTTTTAGAAAGAGCTTTAGTGGCTGCTATCAGTATGTTCAAATTATGCATAATTTTGTTTCCACCATTCTTGTCTTAGATCACCAGAACTCAAGTATAATTATTAACATGATGGAGAATACTATCCTCACCTTGAGACATTTGTCATGAACACTATAGAAAAAGATCAAAAGTTATGGTAAAAACATAGTATATTTTCTTGTTTACTTCACAAGCTTATCAATTTAAATGAATAATCACAAACTTCAAGAAAATGTCCATCAACTGTTAATGCTATAGAATCCTTTTCGAACAGACCTACCGACATTTAATGCAATTAATTATTCATGTTTCCGTTAACTTCCTCATATTGTATTTTCATTAGGTGAAATAAATGTTTTATCCAAATTCCTACTGTTAAGATGCCTTGGCTTTAAAAAATATTACCATTACATTAAATAATTTAATATTCTAGGACTAACTGCCCAAATAAGCTTTACTTTTAAGAACATATTTTTTATATATCTGAAAAATTCGATACACTTTTATATGAATTACTTTTGTGCATAGACTGATAAAATCATAATTAGAGCTCTCAATATTGGATGATAATAAAAATTCAAAAATG